>NC_000006.12:4302424-4453939 GCF_000001405.40 Homo sapiens
TTCATATGGTGAGGTGGAGGGAAATTGCTACCCAAAGGCTACTGTGTCCACAGTCTTCTCGCACTCCTAGTGCTTCAAGCTCCATTGAAGTGAGTTGCCCCTCTGCCACTGTGTCCCCCACTGCACCCCCACCTGGGGTGTCCTGGGCCATAAAAGTTTGAGCAGGAACACTTGCTGGAGCACATTTTCAAAGACCACCAATCACCTCCAGCTGGAGACCTGCTGCAACCCCCAGCCTTTGGTATTGTAGCCAGTTCCGACAATCAAGACATTTAATCCCACGGATTGCAGAATGGTGTGGGCAGCAAGCAGCTCTACTGCAGGTCTGTAGGAAGTGTGTCTTTATTTTTATCACTAGCAGACCTCACTGAAAGCTCTGGGTCTGATGGTGATCACAGAGAAAGGTCCCAGTCAGAGTCAGGCTGTTCCCTGCTTCTCACCAGTTGGGTCATCCTGGGATGTGCCTAATCTTCCCCATTTGTAAGACACAAGGGCCAGGTGAGACCAGTGGTTCTCAAACCAGAGAGTCTCTGTCTTTCTTTCTGAGACAGAGTCTTGCTCTGTTGCCCAGGCTGGAGTGCAGTGTTGCAATCTCGGCTCACTGCAGACTCCGCCTCCCAGATGTAAGCAATTCTCTGCCTCAGCCTCCCGAGTAGCTGGGATTACAGGTGCGTGCCACCATACCTGGCTAATTTTTGTATTTTTAGTAGTGATGGGCTTTCACCATCTTGGCCAGGCTAGTCTTGAACTCCTGACCTCATGATCCACCTGCCTCAGCCTCCTCAAGTGCTGGGATTACAGGCGTGAGCCACCGCACCTAGCCCAAACCAGTTTCTAAGAATTATCTGGGCAATGTGTAATCCCCAGTGGCAATTTCCAGAAATTCTCATTTTAAAAGCTCCTCATTGATATTGACACTGATGTTCTATGGACCACAGTTGGGAAAATACTGGGAGCAGATAGAAAACTTCCAGCCCCAACAGTCTCTGCTGGACCCTGGCTGTGATGTTAAATTTTATTCTGTCTGGTTGGCTTTAGAGTTCTCTTTATTATCTTACACATAAAGCTTTTTTAAATGATTGGGGAATTTACAATAATTTATCACAATAACATTTGGAAGCATTTGAGAGAGCAATAGTTCTTAGCTGAATTTCTTTGGGCAGAGGTAAATATACAAAGAAAACAGGTGAGAAGTTGGCTCTATATCAGATAGTCTAAAGAAAATGTTGTAGAGAAGAACTACATTCCATTACACTACTACTTTTGAAATATTTTCTTTTTCCCCTCATTTCCCTCCTATCCTGTCTCCCTCATCTCTTTGCTTTATGTTTAGATTCCCTTGATTAGAAATGGCAAAATCAGGAAGTGAAAGATCTGACACATGTAGAAGTAAATGGGAACCAGGCCCTCAGGGCCACCCAATAGTTGACCTCAAAGCTTGGCCTGGTTGATGTCCACATGCCATGTCATCGGGAGCCCCCTCTTTTTGGCTTCTGGGGATTTTTATCAGAAAGGGAGGAGCCATCCCAAGGCAGCTTTTACCTGTCACAGATAGCATCAAACCCTGACTCCAAAAACTTGAGGAAAATCAAAAGCATGTGGTCACCAGGAAAAAAAAATGAGGATCTCATCTTTAATCACAATAAAGCTAGAATTCCCAGATGGTACATTTTTGGATCTTTGCATCCATCTGCTAGTTCAAGTACTTCAACAGCAATTGCCCTCATGGTGATTTCACAAATTCCTCACATCCTTCATTCATTTGACAAATATTCATTGAGCATCTACTTGGCGCCATGAACTAGAGATCAGTGTGAGCAGATGACATGAACTCTGCCTTGCAAATGCCACTTGCATCAAGCCCCACAAACAGAGGGACTCTGGCACTGTGGTCTGAGAGGTCAGAAGGAGTCTTTCTGAGGAGATGACAGTGAGCTGAGATTGGAAGACCAGTAGGAGAGAACTAGATGAACTAAATGAAAAGATGCTCCACCTACAGAGTTGGGTGCCAGCTACTGAAAGATAGCCTTCATGGGGGAAATAGCAAATCATGTCTCCCTTTGGCCCAAGTCATGACTTGTCTGCCTGTCTGCCTCACATGAGGTGGGGGGACTGCAGGATGTTTTTGGAAATGTTTTCTGAACACTGATCCCCGATATATACTCTAATTCCATACTTGTTATTGAATTTTGCAATAGGAAATTTAAACCACATGCTGTTTATTTAAAAATTTCGATTAAATTTTCCTTTGACTTGCACTTCCAAATAATAAATCAAATGTTGCTTAGTTTAATTTTCAAGTTGATGAAGATTCTTTTCCTGTTGCTAATTCAAGTCACTTAAGGTGAATTTTGATTAATTTGTGATAGGAAGTTTTGTCTTTCTTAATTGAAAACGCTTTTGAACCAATAGCATATTGCACTAAATTACTCAGGAAATGGCAGTGCTAGGGCTAAGAAAATCTTTATTTTTTTATTTTTATAAAAAAATGATCACAGATTTCAAAGGATTAATTTCTCCACTCTTACTGAAAAGAGCTATTGAACTCTCAGTTGACTACAAGTGATTTATCTCTGCTAATTAAAAATAAAAATCTTCCTGACTTCTTGGTGTCAATGTGTGCAATTCCAATGATGATCATGCTCTATATTTATACAGGGGCTAATATATCACTTGCACATATTTTTATCTTTTTAAGCTTCCCAGCATCACTTAACTGATGGTTGATGGGGAGGGGATGATCTGGAAGGATGATAAATTAAGACTGTCTCTCATTTTAAACCATAAAATAGGTATGTAATGAATCAGAGCTGAAACACAATCATCCTGAAAGAAAAGATTGCTGGGTTGAATGTTAGTTCTGCTTTTAGCTCTTTGAGGAATTGTAACACTGCTTTCCATAATGGTTGCACTAATTTACACTTCTGCCAACAGTGTGTAAGTGTTCCCTTTTCTCTGCAACCTTGCCAGTGTCTGTTGTTTGTTTGTTTTCCACTTTTTAATAGTAGCCATTCTGACTGGTGTAAGATGGTATCTCACTGTAGTTTTGATTTGCATTTCTCTAATGATCAGCGATATTGAGCTTTTTTTTCCAGAGGAATATAAATCACTCTACTATAAGATACATGCACATGAATGTTCATTGCAACACCATTTACAATAACAAAGACAGGGTATCAACCTAAATGCCTATCAGTGATGGAATGGATAAAGAAAATGTGGTAATATAAACCATGGACAACTATGCAGCCATAAAAAGAACAAGATCATGTATTTTTCAGGAACATGGATGGATCTGGAGGCCATCATCCTTAGCAAACTAATTCAGGAGCAGAAAATCAAATACCACATGTTCTCACTTATAAATGGGAGCTAAATGATGAGAACTCATGAACACAAAGAAGGGAACAGTAGACATGGGGTCTATTTTAGGAGGAGGGAGAGGAACAGAAACGATAACTATTGGGTACTAGGCTTAATACCTGGGTGATAAAATAATCTGTACAACAAACCCCCATGACACAAGTTTCCTATGCAGCAAACCTGCACATGTAGCCCTAAACCTAAAATAAAAGTTTTTTAAAAAAGAAAGTAAAGATTGAGCTTAAGGTGTTAACTTAAGAAAGAATGTCTGTGCCAATCAGGAGAAGAATGAAATCTAGAGTCCTCACTAATGCCTGCATTTTCACTCCTGCGTGACCTGGCTCCCACCTACTCCTCCAGTTTATTTTCTGCTACTCTTTTTCTCATGTGCTTGCCCCCAGCTGCACAGACCTACTTGCTGTTCCTGCAACACGCACAAGGCTTGCTCTTGCCTCTGTGTCTTTGCACGTGCTGTTCCTTCTGCCTGAAGGCTCTTCCCTTGATATTCTCATCATAGCTCACTCACTGGCTTCCTTTAGCTCTGCTCAAATGCACTTCTTTAGAGAGACCTTCTGGACCAGCTCAAAAAGCATTCCCATCACTCGTTATTGCCTTCCATGTATCATTTGTTTTCATAACACTTATCATCAACTGATGAATTGTATACATATACAATTATATATATGTTACATATAATTTACTGTATGTTTTAGATCAGTTTTGGGTTCACAGCAAAATTAAGAGGAAGACACAGAGATTTCCCATATGCCCCTTCCCTGACACATGCACAGCCTCCTCCATATCAACATCCTCCACCAGAGTGGCACATTTGTTACCATTGATGACCCTACATTGGCATACCCTCATCACACAAAGTTTATAGCTTATCTTAGGGTTCATTCTTGGTGTTCATTCTGTGGGTTTGGATAAATATATGATGACAAGTATCCACCATTTTAGTATCATACAGAGTGTTTTCACTGCCCTAAAAGCCCTCTGTGCTCTACCTGTGCATCCCTTCTTCCTCCAACCCTTGGCAACCACTTATCTTTTTACTGTCTCTATAGTTTTGCCTTTTTGAGTGTCATGAAGTTGAATTCATCAGTTATGCAGCCTTTTCAGATTGGCTTCATTCACTTAGCAGTATACATTTAAGTTTCCTCAATGTCTTCACAGCTTGATGAGCCATTACTTTGTAGTGCTGAATAATATTCCATTGTCTCGATGTACCAGAGTTTATTTGTCCATTCACCTACTGAAGGACATCTTGGTTGCTTCACAAGTTTTGGAGCATAAAGGTATTTTTCTCTTTATTTATTATTTGATCTCTCTTTTTCCATCCCTCCAACATAGTGACTATGCCTATTTGTATACTCTTATATCCCAATGACTAGTATACTGATTGTACATAATATGTGCTCAAAAATATTTTATTGAATAAAGAATTGAGGAAGGAAAGTAAAAAATACAGAAAAGAGATCAAATGAATGAGCGCTAGAAGTAACTGTAATATACTGTATAGGAAGAGGTATGCCTGGGTCAAATAACTCAATCTGTCCAGTCTCAGTAGCAAGGACAGGGCCTAAAGACATTGCTTCATTGGTGACTAAGTGTGCGGACAGAATTTCTGTTTAAAGAAGGACATCATGATCAAAGAAGATGACAGCAGGAGAGAAGATATTTGCAATTTCTAAAATGAGGAACCAGTGTCTGGAATCACTAGTGCCTTTGAGTCAACAAGTAGAAAATGACAATCGCAAAAAGGAAAAACAGACAAAGGACATGAACAGGCAATTTACACAACAGGAATCCCAAGAGGCTAGCAAGTGTAAAACATGTTTAAAACTGTTACTAATCAGAGAAATGCAAATCAATCTACAATGAGTTGTCAGTCGATAAGAGTAGACTTGAAAAAAGTAAGAGGTAGGATGATGGGGCTGTGAAGGCAAAGGGACCTTTGTCTGGTGCTGGTGGCAAGATAGACAGATGCAGCCATGGGTTTAGGTGTATATCACATCCCAGCAGGGGCAAAGAAAGGAGAATTCATCCTGGTGGAGAGGAGATGAAATGAGCCGGCCACCGTTGGTAGAGATGTGAGTAGGGAAAGTGTGGAGGAAGCTCACCACTCAGGGCCAGATGTGCACATATAGCCCCAAATCAATCTGAAAATCAGTGCTTCCCCTACAAAAAAAGTAGAAAAAAGATTGAGGTCTATATCACAATACGAGTTTAATAATAAATAGCATAGCTGGCCCATTTAATACCAAAGCAGATATTTTTTAACACCTCTTTCCCCAATACACTAAAATAATTTTCATTAATAATCAAGAAATGAAATTAATAATGGCCAGAAAAGAAAAATAGACAGTAAAGTTTTTCTTCTGAATTTTGTATAATTATGCTGATTAAAAATTAAAATAAAATAAATATTATAGTACAAACAGGAACTATTAATAGATTAGCATGTTTAAATTATTTAAACAAAAAAACCCATATACTTGCCTATTAGTCTATTACAGTAACAGATAATCACATTACAGTTTCTGTTTCAGAGCCTTAGCTTCTACAGATTTGTCATTGACTTCAAAATAGCAGTACTAGAAAGAGTCATCAATCCATCTTCACTCATGAAGGAATAGTATTTATCCATTTTGTTTTTGAAAAGTTTATTTTGCGTGAAACAGCAGGTATATGCATAGACAGAAAAGATTTTAAACATGAGAATAAATTTGGCAATGAATCATAAACATTCTATTTCACAATAAATTCCAGAAATTTCAGAGGCAAATGGAAACTCCAAGTGGTTGTATAGAATGACAGAATAGAAGTAACCCAATTTCTGTTTCTTCATTTTTACAATCACTGTGCTATTCTTGGTTAATTTGAATCTAGTGTCCATACCTTTATGAATTTGCTTTCTTTTTCTTTCTTTCTTTTTTTTTTTTTTTTGAGATGGAGTCTTGCTCTGTTGCCCAGGCTGGAGTGCAGTGGCATGATCTCGGCTCACTGCAACCTCCGCCTCCCAGATTCAAGCGATTCTCCTGCCTCAGCCTCCCAAGTAGCTGGGACTACAGGCACCTACCACTGCACCCAGCTAATTTTTTATTTTTAATAGAGACGGGTTTCACCATCTTGGCCAGGCTGGTCTCAAACTCCTGACCTTGTGATCCACCCGCCTTGGCCTCCCAAAGTGCTGGGATTACAGGCGTGAGCCACTGTGCCTGGCCATGAATTTACTTTCAAGAGGAATGTGTGTAGCTAAATTTGTGTCTGCTGGGGGCTGACTATAATAACCAAGAGTTCTCCAAATTAACTTCAACGTACAATAAAATGTCTATTCAAGGATAAGTAATAGAAATGTGCTAATTTAAAGCTCACACATACATTACTAAACTCAACAGAAGTGATTAGAAGTTAGACTCCCATAAAAAGATAGTCTTGAGAGAGGTGTGTATCATCAGTGGCATTGCTTAGAGTTGCTGTAACAGTGATTTAAAAAACAGATTATCTCTTAATGTCATTATTATTTTTTAAATTCTCCAGACAAGGTACTCCCTTATTGCCTGCATCTGAGGCAGGTTGCTACCATTGCTCCTCTCTAGGGACATGCTATTTATAAGCAAAAAATTATTCATGTGGGACCTGCAAAGAGGCTTGAGGGAGAGGTGTGGTAAGAAAAAAAGGGATTTCTGAAAAAAGTGGATGTCCAATTGTTTCAACATTTTTGTTGGGAAACTATCCTTCGTCCATTTCTTTGCCTTTGGACCTTTGTCAAAATCAGTTGACCACTGTGCCCCTGGCTGGAGAAACAGCCAAATTGACCCGCCCCTTGAGAAAATGTCCCCAAATCATGGAGCCACCACATGCCCATCCCTGCAGCTGGAGATATAGCCTGGTGGCCCCACCCCCAGTGAGCCAGTTCTCAAGTCAGCCAACACATCATGCACTGCACCCCTAGCCAGAGAAACAACCCAGCAGTCCTGCCCCCATGTGCACATGCATGCCCCTTGCCTATAAGCCAATTTGGTAAGCCCACCTCTGGCTAAGCCACAACACTGCCACCACAAACTCCTGTAGCCTAGGTCACTGAGGCACTCGCAAGCGTCACTAACATAAATTATAGCTGAAGACACTGCATGAACATTGCACTACCCTATCTTTCCAGAACCAAAATCAGTGTGCCTTCCCCAGCCAATACCCTAGGATCTAGCTACAGGAATAAGTCCTTATGAAAGCTATTTTATAAAACTGAAAGAGGCAACTGTTCCGTTAGATGAGCAGATATCAACATAGGGACACAATAAATATGAAAAAGCAAGGAAACAGGACACCTCAAAGAAGCATAATAATTCTCTAGGAACAGAGTCCTAAAGAAATGAAAATGTACAAAATGCCAGAGAAGTATTAATAATTGAAAATAATAATCTTAAGGGATCAATGAGATACAGGAAAATACAGATAGACAATTCAAAGAAATCAGGAAAATTAATGATTTGAATAAGAAATTCAACAAAGAGATATAAAATACCAAACAGAAATCTTGGAGCTGAAGAATTTCATGAGGGAAATAAACAATGAAATTAACAGCTAAGATGAAATCAAGCAGAAAAAAAGAATTTCTAAATGTGAAGACAGGTCTTTTGAAATAACCAAGGCAGAAAAGACAGAGAGAAAAAAAAAATTTACGGGACGTATGGGACACCATAAAGCAAACAGATATTCACATTATGGTAGTTTAAGAAGGAGAAGAGATAAGAAAGGACATAGAAAGCCTATTTAATTTAATAAAACAATATCTGAAGAGAATCTCAAATCTTGGGAGATACATGAGCATCCAGGTTCACGAAGTTTAAAAGTTTCTAAATGTATTCAATTCAAAAAGTTTCACCCTGGGGCACATTATAGTAAAATTGTCAAAAGTTAAAGACAAAGAAAAATTCTAAAAACAGAAAGAGAAATGCATCAAGTCACATATAAGGAAATGCCCACTAGACTAACAGATTTCTTAGCGGAAACCTTATAGGCAGAGAGAGAATGGCATGATATAGTCACGCTGAAAGAGAAAAAGACTTACAACCAAGAATTCATACCCAGAAAAACTATCCTTCAAAAATGAAGGGAGAAATAAAGTCTTTTCCAGACAAACAAAAATGGAATTCATTACCACTAGACTGGTCTTACAAGAAACACTAGGGAGACCTATATCTGGAAGCAAAAGAATGATATCTACCATCATGAAAACACATGAATGTGTAAAACTCACTGGCAGAACAGAGACATAAAGAAGAAAGAAAAAGTAGTTAAAATGCATCACTACAGAAAACCACCAAAATGCAAAGATAAACAATAACAGAGGAAGAAAGAAACAAAAAATATGCAAAGGCATCAAAATACAAATAACAAACAGAGTAAGTACTCACATACCAATAATAACCTTTAATCTAAATAGATCACATTCTTCAATTAAAATATATAGACTGGCTGAATAAATTTTTAGAAAAATGAGACCCACCTCTCTGCTGCAAATCAGTAGTGATTCTATACATTAACAACGAGCTGGCTGAAAAAGAAATCAAGAAAGCAATCCAATTTATAATAGCAAAGAAAAAAATACTGAGAAATAAATTTAACCACAGTAGTGAAAGACTTCCACAAGAGAAACAATAAAATACTGATGAAAAAAATCGAACACGATAAAACAAAATAGAAGGACATTCCATGTTCATGGATTGAAATAATTAATATTGTTATAATGACCAGGCTACCCAAAACAATGTACAGATTCAATTCAATCCCTATCAAAATGCAATGACATTCATTACAGAAATAGAAAAAGTAATCCTAAAATTTGTTTGGAACCACAAAATACTCCAGGTAACCAAAGCAATCTGAGCAAAAAGAGCAAAGGTGGAGGGATCACACTACCTGACTTCAAAATATATGACAAAGTTATACTAACTGAAACAGCACAGTAATGAAATAAAAACAGACACGTAGACCAATGGTAAAGAATAGAGGACCCAGAAATAAATGCAAAACAATTGTTTGGTGGTCTATCTTTTAGCAGGTTGATGTAGGTATTATTGTTTTTAATAGATTTCTTACTGGAGTTATGAGTAGATTGCAGAACACAATTACAGTATTAGAGTATTCTGGGTTTGTCATGTACTCAATTTTACCAGTGGGTTTTATATATTTACACTTTTTTTTGTTTGTTTGTTTTTGCATGTTAGTATTTTTTTCTTTCAGTTTGAAGAGCTCTCTTTAGCATTTTTTGTCAGATGGGTCTGGTGACAAATTCTCACAGCTTTTGTTGTTTGGGAAAGACTTCTCTGCTTCATATTAGAAGGATAGCTCTGTTGGATATAGTATTCTTGGATGACAGTCTTTTTTTTCTTTCAGAAGTTTGAAAATGTCATTCTACCCCCTCCTGGCCTGTATGATTTCCATTGAAAGGTCTGTTGGCTGATCAATTGGAGCTCCTTTATATGTTATTTGCTTCTTTTCTCTTGCTGCTTTTAAGATTCTCTACTTATTTTTTATTCTTGAACATTTGATTAGGGGTAGAACATTTTATTCCAGGGGTAGTCTCATTTGAGTTGAATCTGCTTGGTGTTTTCTGACCTTTCTGTACCTGGTTATTTATTTTTCCTCAAGTGTTAAAAGTTTTCTGTTATTATGCCTTTGAATAAACCTTCTATCCCTTATTCTTACTCAACTCTGTTTTGATCACCAGTAATTCTTAGATTTTGTTTTTTAAGGTAATTTTTTATATCTTTTAGGTGATCTTTGTTTCTTTTCATTTTTTTCTTTTCTGTGCATTTTCAAAAAGCCTATCTTCAACTTAACTGATTCTTTCCTCTGCTTGATATCACCATTCTGCTGTTGAGAGCCTCTGTTGCATTTTTTAATTCAGCAAATGTATTTCTCAGTTCCATGATTTCTGTTTGATTTTTTAATTATTTCAATCTTTTTGTTACATTTCTCTGATAAATTTCTCAATTGCTTTTCTGTGTTATCTTAGAGATTTCTGAGTATTCTTAAAACTGCTATTTTCAGTTTTTGATCTGAGAGCATACATATTGCAGTTTCATTAGGGTCAGTTACTGGTTTATTGTTTTGTTCATTTGGGGAGGTCATGGTTCCCCATTTGCTGTTGTTTTTTGTAGATGTACATTTACATCTTTGCATTGAAGGATTATTTATTTCAGTCTTCTCTGCCTGGATTGTTTTGGGTTTTATTGGATAAGTTTTCCTAGAAATGCTTTGTAATTTAATTGTAGATTATCTTTTTTTTTCCCCAATGATGTTGTTGCCTCTTTTTTGGCACTAGATGGTGCCTTAAGCCCAGGGTTGCCTCAGTTGTAGTAAACAACCAGAGTGCTGCCCATTCCAAATGGGAGAGATCTCAAAGGGGACATCCTGGCAGTGTGGGAAGGCTGGCTAAGAGTTTATGCCCAGGGGACCTGTGGAACAAACCTTCCACAGTGTAGTGCTGCTGCACAGCCACACTAATTTGGCATTTCCTTTGGCCTAGTTACATAGTAAAGCTTCAGGGTCTGGGAATGGTAATACCCCCACCTTTGTCACTGGCTGTAATCAGGGTTATTTCTCCTTTCAGGCACTCCTGATGCTTCCCATGGGTTGAGACAGGGACTGTTGTAGTAGGGAGCCCAAGTTGGTAAAGAAGCTGGTTGTGCACCTCAGTCTCACTTTTTCCAGTGTAGAAACTGTGAGTCAGGGAGAAATTTTTCTCATGCTTGGTGCTGTGCCAGGCAGACTTGGAGGGAAGGGTGTCATGGATACGGTAGTCCTTTTACTATCTGCCCCGAGTGATTTCACAGCTCTGTTGCCCTGGGAACTGTCTCATTCTGATATTTGAGTTCTGGGATATTGCTGGCAATAATCTCAGTACTGTGTATTTGTTTTTGGTTTTTGTGGGGAGAGTGAAACCAGCTTGCTTTTACTCTGCCATTTTGAAATCAAAAGTCCTATTATACTATCTTGATTACTTTAGTAGTGTTATTAATCCAACTTTATTCTTTTTGTTCAAAAATTGTTTTAGCTATCCTAATTCCTTTTCCTTTTCACCTGAAATTTAGAATCAGCATGTGTACATATATGGCTGAACTTTTTATTGGAACTGCAGTAAATTTATAAATGTGTTTGGGGAAAATTTTCATTCTTACTATGTTGAGTTTTCCAATCAATGAACATTGTGTATCTCTGCTTTTATCTAGATCTTTGATTTCTTTGATTTCTTTCATCTGTGTTTCATAGTTTTCAGCATATAGATCCTGTGAACAATCATAAATGCTGTTTTTTTAACATTCAGTTTCAAATTATAATTCCTAGTATATAGAAATGATTGATTTTTATAAACAATTATTTTTCAGTAAAAATAAGTGACTTTTCTTTATAGACTGTTTCTGAAGGATTCTACTTTATGTTCATGGAAATTACACTCTTTTAATCCTGAGATTTTATGGATTGCTGAAGTATATAATTAAATTGTGTAGTCATTATAATATGTACAGGTGGCAGAAACAGGTTGGGAACAAACCCAATCAACTCTTGGTAAGCATACAAATAAAACAGGAAGAGCAAAAGTATATCAGTGTATCACAGTAGACTACTGGGCTATAGGGATTCAGCATGGTCATGAAAAAATAGAGTAAACAGAAGGTCAGTCAGTTAATCTGGAGAGTCAGCTAAGCGAAGGTCATTTAAGAGAGCTTCTACTGAAAGATCTACACAAAAGAGACAAGAAGGCAATAGAAAGGCCCAGTTCCTATGATTGCATTTAAACATAAAACTAATGCTATATCTTGAGAACATAAGAAACATATTTTATACTCGTCACAATATATCTACTGAAGGAGCACTTATAAAGAAGGAAAAATAGCTATTACAATCATGTTTTTGAAAAATAATGATGGTAGGAAAGATCATAATTATAATACTAAGTGAAAAAAATCTTAGGATACAAAAATGTTATGTACAATACAATATTACTCCCAATTATACAAAAAAGTATTTTTAGAAGAAAGACGAAAAATACATCGAAATGTTTATAATAATTATGTATGGCTGTTGGGATATGGTTGGCATTTATTTACTTGTTTTTGCTGTTTTTACATTTTTACAGCTTTTACAATGCCTATGGGTTATTTTTACAATCAGAAGAAGTGTCATTTTTAAAAGAAGAAGAATTCTTTCTATACTTTATTTGCCTCATTGAGATATCTGACAACAGTATCCTCATTGTTCTCTTTTGTTGTAATGAAAAACCATTTCAGGATTTTGGCATTTCCCACCAATTCCCTATGCCTTTTAAGGAACCAAGCAAGCTTCAGTAGTCTCTGCCATTTGATAAGTTACATTAATGATTATGACAACAATAATTGTACAGGCTTTGCAAAGCTATTTATTTAATAAAATCATTACTATAAAGACTTTAAAGAACTACAAGCAAGGGTCAGGGCCAACTTCATGATTGTCCCCTTCATAGTCATCCAAGTCTTCAATTTAGCTAAGGTCACAAGCCCCATGTAGAGAGTCAAACCAGAAACCATTAAATACAGTTATTTCACTCTTTCTCCTCATTTCCTTGCATAGGCTAACCTTAGAGTTTGCTGGCAGGTGCTAGAGTTATACATAAAATTCCAGATCAATAGCCGGGGAATTTAAAAAGAAGGTGCAGAACATCATACAGAATCTAAGGCTATTCTCTCTCCCAGTTAGTGGTTCTTTTCTTTGTCGGTTTTCTTAAATGAGTGGTTCTTAACCTTTCCTGGATCATAATATTTTCAGTCATTTTATGTAGACACTCAAATTTCCCTAAATTCTTGCATCAACAAATCCATTCCCTCCCCCAAATCTATTACCAATGCACTGGATTTATTACAGGCACATGTTTCACGTCAGTCCCCCATAGGTAGCTTTAGCTCAGGCTCTATCTCCTCTCACCTTCACTGTGCCAGTAGCCTCCGAAGTGGGCTCCCTAACTCTAGTCTCCTGAGTAGCATCCATCTTCCACACCAACACACTGCAGCCATTTTCCTGAAAGCAAACCTGATCATTCCCTCCCTCACTTGAAGCTATTCTTGATGAAGCCCCTTCCTTTATTTTCTGTGGCTAAGGGGAATGCGGTGGTATTCTATCAACTTACAATATCACAGCCAGGCAGAGGAGGTCAAAGGATAGAGGACAATTTCACATGCTAAGTGAGCATGCCTTTCTTTTTATTCTCCCCTTTAAAGCAATGATAGTTGGCTTGAGCTGTGTTTCAAATAGGAGAATCATTTGCAGGGAGTCATTATGTGTCTCTCCAAGGATCACTCTTCCTGAGACAGATCCATTGATCTACTTGGGGATCAGGCTTAGAAAAGTGAGCCACAGTGATCTGGGCCACATCTGTGAATGCACCAGGGAGCCCCAGGAGCCAGGTGGTAAGAAACGTCATAAAGGGGGTTGGAGGAGGAAAAGCTCTGGGAGGAGAAGAGTGGAGAAATGCTCATGTTTTAACAATGGCTCTCAAACTTGGCTGCACATCAGAATCACCTGGGGAACTTTGAGAAATCCCCACACCCAGGCCAATCCAACCCTCTCAAATCAAAGTCTCTGAGGTGGGACCAGGTACCTGAATTCTTTTAAATCTCCAAGGTGATGGCACTGTGTGGAAGGTTTGAGAGCCAGTGTCTTAGAAGATTTGGGTTTGCCAGAAGGTTTCTGGATGGAGCCTGGGTGCTGACCCTTTTACCCTAACTGGTTAGAGTGGCAGATGAAGCTCCACCCATCTAGTGCTAGATCTTTTGGAGATTTATTTTTAAAAGCCACTCATTATTCCTCTCCCCATTTGGCAAAAGCGTTTTCATCCATTTTCTCTTTGACACCCATTACATTTAAAAAAATTATTTAGTCCTATACTGGACAGTCTGTAGCAAGTCCAGCCTGCTCTGCCACTAGTTAACTGGATGCTAGGCCTCAGTTCTTTTCCAGGGAAGCAGGAAAAATTAGCATAGGCCATCTTCAAGTTCCTCTCCTCTCTTTAGCTTTAGCATTTAGTCCTCTACAACTCCGTCTCCAGATTTCTGAGGCTGTTCTGAGCCACCTCTGCCCACATGCTTCTGGCTGATCTCTAGCCACAGCTGCTTGCCTCATGGCCGCCACTTCCTGCTGGACGTCCACGGGGCTGGGGTGGTGGGCAGGGAGGGAGAGTGAGGATGGAAAACCAGGATGACCAGCGGCTCTAAATCCCCTAAGGGTGGTATTCCTTTTTGAGGAACTGGCCACCCCTCTACACAGCAGCTGAGATGCAGGAGTTCCTGTTTCAACTCCCCCACCCTGCTGGAGGCTGTAAGGCAGGGTGTGATCGGCTTTTACTGGAGAACAGGAAATAGCAGGAAACGTCACCTACAAGGGCACATTAATCACATTAGCTTGGCAAACTATCATCTGGGATTCAAAGTCACATGTGTGAGCACAGCATTTCTAGGCAGCCCGTTTCCACAGCCCTGCTGCCCATGCCTTTTGTTTTAGAAGACCGGTCTCTGCAGCTCACTGCTGCTGGAAGGAAAACTCACATGATCACATTTTGTGTACACATGCATCCACATGCATAGTGAAACCAGGTGAGCTTAATTCATTTTGGCTAGACTGAAGTCAAGCTTCTGAAAATATAAAATGGTTGTATTTCTGGGCCAATGCTGACGCTGGAGGTGGCATGTTGATGAGGCCAGGAAGTTATTCTATTTTCTGGTGAGGGAGTACTTGTCTTGTTCTCTTTTTTTTTCCTACAGAAAATGCAGCCATTACTCACATTTAAAAAAATTACATTTGGGCTTTGAGGTATAATAAGAAATATATAGATATTGGTCACTGCTCCTGATTCCTGACACAGAGCCACTAAAACCCTTGTTATTTCCTGAGTGATAGGGGTGCGAGGAGAATATTTTGTCCTAATATTTGGTCTCTGACCCAGTTCCCAGCACAGAGCTCTTAAATCCCCTGGAATTTCCTGGGTGATAGGAGCATCTTTCATTCTAACAAGGTGACTCTTGGTGGACTCCTGTATGGAGTTTGTCACCAGAAAGATCAAGCCATGATGAGAAGCTTGGAACATTCAGCCTCACTCTCCATCCTCTGGGTAGAGGAGTGGGGCTGGAGATTTAGTTAAAAATTGATCCTGCCTATGCCATGAAAGATCTACATCATAGATTTTTCTGTGTCTATAACAATCCCTAAAGTATAGGGCTGAGAGCTTCCAGATTGATGAACACGTCTACGTGCTGGGGGTGGTGCATCTCAGCTCCATGGAGACAGAAGTGCCTGTGCTTGGGACCCTTTCAGACCTTGCCCTCTGCATCTCTTTATCTGGCTGTGTGTGTGTATCCTTTGTAATATTCTTTGTAATAAAGTGGTAGGTGAATATAAGTGAGTATTTCCCTGACTTCTGCAAACTGTTCTAGCAAATGATCAAAACTGAGGAGGAGGTTATGGGACCCTCCTATTTGTAACCAAGTCAGACAGGGGTTGTGGGTAACCTAGAGACCATCACTTGTGATTGGTGTCTGAAGTGGGGTGAGGAGTCAGGAGGAACTGAACACTTAACCTGTGGGATCTGTGCTAATCCCAGGTAGATGGTGTCAGAATTGAATTGAATTATTGAACACCAAGTTGGCGTCTGAAGAGAATTGGAGAACTAGTTGGTGTGGGAAAACCCCACACATATTTGGTTACAGAAGTGTTCTGTGTTAAGTGTGAGTATAAGGAAGGAAAAATGAGTTTTTCTTACAGGCTTACATTTAAGGAATTATCTTTCTTGAAAATGATATTGAAGTCAGCACTGTCTGGGAAAGTCTGGAACATAAAGTGCTTCTGAGCCAGGATCTTTTGTATCATTAAAATGACGCACTCTTTAGGGAGGGAGCAACCTACTTTTAGATGAGGGTCTTAGGGGAGACTTTATTTTGGAGCCATTTGTGGGCACATGAACTTGACTTTCAGATCTCTGATTGGGCAGGAACAGCTCCTTGCTAGGGGCTACTGAATGAACCTCAAGGAAAAGTGAAGTTGAAAGCTCTTAGGCCACATCAAAGAAGTGGGGAGGATACAGAGCCTTCTTCCCTTCTGGGAGACAAGGGCACCAGAGGCCTTCCTTGCTTTTTAACAATGCGCATCTATTTTGTGAGGCTTAAAAGGGCGTTTTGTCCATGGGAGATGCTAAAAATATTCTTGTAGGAAGAAAGGAAAAGGGGGAAAGGGAAGATGTGATAAAAGGAAGAAGAGAAAAAGGGATAATTCAAAGTACTGAAATAAAAATTTTGGTTAGCTCAAAAAAGAAGTAAAATACAGTATCTAGAGAGCAACAGCACAAAAGAGAAAACAAGCAAATATTCCTGGATGTTTCTTTCTCACCGTATCACCCTGAGTACGTTATTTAACCACTCTGAGTCCCAGTTTCCTCATCTGTAAAACGAGTCTCTCTACAGGAATTTTGTGAGGATCAACAAACAAAAAAGCTTCTGCTGATTCGTGAGGATGCTAATGTCAAACACCATGCACACTCACCACAGCCTAAAACCTTTTCTAAGAGCTTCACAGGTATGATCTCATCTAGTCTTCCAAACAAAACTGTGAAGGAAGTTCCTTCCTCATTTGAAAGAGAAGACTGAGGCACAGACCCTCAGCTAAACCAACAGGTGGCATGCTTGGATTTGAACCTTGCTAGTTGCTCTTGCTCCTTAGTCTGTGTTAAGTACCTCCCTTCCTCACCATCCTATGTTGCAGTAGCTCCTCTTTCTTTTCTTCTTCTTTTTTTTTTTTTTTTTTTTGACTGAGTCTTGCTCTGTCGCCCAGGCTGGAGTGCAGTGGTGCCATGTAGACTCACTGCAACCTCCACCTCCAGGGTTCAATTGATTCTCATGCCTCAGCCTCCTGAGTAGCTGGGATTACAGGTGCAGGCCACCATGCCCGGCCAATTTTTGTATTTTTAGTAGAGACAGGGTTTCACCATGTTGGCCGGGCTGGTCTTGAACTCCTGACCTCAAGTGATCCACCTGCCTCAGCCTCCCAGAGTAGCTCCTCTTTTGACTATTTCACAGGTGCAATGCTCATTCTGACAATTCAAAAGAAATTTGGTTGGCTAAATTGGGCTCTATGCAATTGGGAAGTATCACTGGATTTGACATATCTAGGCTCAGTTCATTGTTAGCAAACGTAATTGATACACACTGAGATCTTGTGATCCAAGCCTGAGAACTACAAACATTAAATCCACAAATGTATTTCAAAGTTCAAATTTTACATTAGTGAAACAAGGAAATATAAGTGTCATAACACAATGGCAGCTTTCCAAGAATGAATATTTTATTGGTGGGGAAAATTGGCCTTTTGGGTCACCTTACTTTAGCTCTTCAAGGATGTACAACTATATAAAATTGACCTTATGTTGTGGTATTGAACAGCTGGGCTATGGAATATTTTAAACCAGCGTTTAAAAATAATCCCATAGAGTGGGAACTGATGCAATCCTAAGGGGAAAGAAAGCTTTGGAGGAGTGTCTGGCTTCCTCTTTTCCTCTTGGCTTGAAACCGACAGGCAGATCTTATCTACTCTGGTTGATTTTCTAGCATTAGGACTTTATGCAAATGGATCGGGGCCTTGTATCCTGAGAGGGAAAGTGGTTCACTGGAAATGTTTTGGCAATCACAGATTCTTCCAGGTGCCTGCCTGAGAATGATTTTCTTACATTGAGAATTTTCTTCCAACTGGGCACAGATGACAGAAGTCTGGACTTGTTTGGAAATATGATCCTATCAGTTCTCAGACATTTTTAGAATATCTACCCAACCCCAGCCTTTCAGCACCCCTGTAATGATCATATTGATTTCATACTTCTAAGTTTTGGGATGTTAAAAATAGGAAGGACTTGAAACCCTTATTGTGGGATTTACTGTTTATTCCTGTTATCTCCTAACTTGGGTTAACATGGATTCTGATGAGAATAATGAAAAGTGAATAGTTTAACCATGTTTAGAAGAGTATTCATTTATTAGACATGCTGCTAAATGTGTCTGATCTCACAGAGATTAATTACTCTTTCTCAGTATTCCTCTTTCTCATGCACACATTCACTTACAAGTTCAGGCTGTCATGTTTTTGCCATTTTCTTGCCGGTGCCTTGCAATCCTAATAAAATGTTTACTAGGTAGCATTTCTCTGGATACAGTGTTGAGCTGAGAACTGACTTGAACATGAATCATGATAATGTTTCTTACTGTTTACATAGCAATGAAGATTATCAGGATGAATGGAGAGAAGCCAACCACCCTCTTTATTCATCACAAAGTCATTCAGCCCTGTTATTTCTCATGCTGAGAGATTTATTGGTAATTTTGCTGCAGATAAGTTGTCTTGAAGGGAGCAAAAACTTTCAGGAATTGAGGTGCTTCTGAATCAGAGAAAACTATGATACGTCATTAACTCTGATACTGAATTATATAGAAGAAATGCAAAAGACTCATAAGCACTTAGAAAAACAGTAATCAGTGTGTGTTGATTATCTCAGCCACGGTATACCTTTTTTTCCACCACACATTTCCGGGGTGATTTGCACTGTATTTTCATATTTAACATTAGGGAAAAGTGTGTTGTGGGTGCTATGGACATGTATTAGCATATTTTAAGATGGTTTATTTGGGCTTTTTTTTTTAACCTAATAAATCCAGTTCATGTGCACACAACATCACTCATGTTTGCTGCTTTTGAAGTAAATTTCATTTTAATTCTTCCAATCAGTCGAAACATTTGAAAAAAAAATAACATGAAAGTTTTGAGCTCGGGAAAGGTTTTTGTTATCATTTTTGTTTTTTTACATTGATCTTAGGTCATTGAGTAGATAATAGGAATACATTTGCTAATGAAGATGAGACGTCAACTGTCCGATATAGTCATCAATCAAATGTCTGGCTCAGAATCAAGACACAGACCCTTCCATCTCCCTACCTGTTTCCCCAGCAGACCTGCAGCAACCCAGATGGTGTTTTTGGACTATTTTATAAATGTGTAATTCATAGAAGTCTACTAATGATCTATTATTTTATACTAGTGGCCAACCTTGGAATTTAGTGTGTAATTTCTGCAGGCCACAATGAATGATTTCTGACAAGAGGTTGTTGTGTTGAAGGAGAAAGAGCAAAGGAAATCTTTCAGAACAATTAGTAGGTTAAGTTACTTGGCTCCCAGTTTGAGATTGAGAAATAATTTTTTAAGTTTTTTCCCTGTCCCATTCCCTCTTTGTGACCTAAAAAACCCCCAATAGCCAGAGAATAAAGACAAAGAGCAAGAGGACTCCTTGTAAGTGCTCCCCCAGAGCAAGTTATCAATTGCTAAATTGGTAGGAGGCATGTGTGCTTTGCACAATCCACTCAACCTGACACTGAGAAACAGGGACCAGATGTTGAGCCAGGGTTTGGGCTCAAGTGCTTAGGTGGCTGGATGTGCACTTTCCATTAAGTCCAAAAGCCTGCTTGAGGAAGTGACCAAGTTGACTGCTCAATCTTGACATCTATTTGAGAATTTATTGGAAAGACCACGGGCAAATACACTTTGTCTGAGAAGCTGTTCCTGTACAGTGGGTTGGAAAGACCCAACTGGAATGTCATTTTCCATGATCTGACCATTTTATACGTCTTCCTCCATGAATAGGAATTTTCGAAAATCATTGGCTACTTCCAACTGCACAACTGTGTGAAGGCCTTGCTGCCAGCACTGAGCATAGGTGTGAGTGTCCAAAGAACAGTATTCTAGTCCCAGGTCTGCCACTAACTCACTTTGACACTTGGCTAGTCTCTGATTTTCTTTGGCCTCGTTTCCTCAGCTGTAAAATCCGGAGGCTGAACTAGAAAGTTCTGCTCTTGCTCTGTGCTTCCAGCATTTCCTACCTTCGATTACACCAGCCAAGAGTTCTTGACAAAAGCCCAGTGCTCCAGCTCCCCTATCCCCAGCAGCTTCTTTGCCTTTCCATTGGGAAGTTTGGCTTTTAAGCCTGAAACAACGTATCAGATCATAATGCTGCTGGATCATCTGAATTATCCATGGCTCCTTATTGCCTGCAGAAAACAAACTTCCTCCATTGTCATGTAAAGTCCCATGAACTGACACCCCACCCCCAGCTTTCCAACCTTATCTTTATTCTTGTTCCTCCAGACTGGCCTGCTCATATTGCCCCAAGCACATTACATCATCTCTGTCTCTGCTTCTTTGATTTCAGTATTCAGTGTTCCTGGAATCTTCCTTGTCTTTCTTTCCCAACCCTGTAGGGCAGCACTATGGGACCCAGCCCCACCTTGGCTTCAGTAGAGCTGCTGTTGACTGTTGCATTGATTTATAATCCAATTTCAACTTTTATTCAAGCAAAAAGATTCAAGACAAAAGTTAGTTTGGAATTCAGTAAATACAATGATTATGGACAAGCACCAGCTGTTGGCTCTTTCCCAGGATCTCTACCCAAGAAGCCAGAAGATATTGATGGTTCCCAGAATCTAGTGCAAAAATCATGAGAAATCTTTGGGAAGATGAAATAGAGTGGTTCCAGGTGCAGTGGAAAACATAGAGTGAGAGAGAGCCTGGTATTGAGGAATGAATTTTGAGAAAACTTTCTAGTTATATCTCTCCACCTCTGGCCCTCCCCCTCAACCACATTACTACTCACGCTTTTATGGGGAAATGGATGGTAAGGAAAACAGCAGCAGCAGCTTAGAGCCAGCCAAAGGCAAGAGGCGAAAATTAGGGAAGGCCCAGAGACTGGCTGGGTAAGGAGTGAAAGAGTAACAACAGTGAGAGGATCAGGAAGATCCTGAGAATTCTTTTTTTCTTCATCCTGGATGCCACTCCTGTGTTATCAGTTGCATTCTATGTAGCAGATCTTGGAAGACAGATCTACCTAGCAGCAGGTTTACCTGTGGCAAATAAGTGGGGAGGAGTTGCTGAACCCAGATTGTAAAGCCAGAAGATCCTTCCAAGTCCATATCCCTTCTACTCATTCTGAAATCCAGAATGTATTTAGAATTAGAAGTATTTACTTAGGGGTATGGGCTTTTTTAAAAAAAAGTCAGGGGCTGGGCGCAGTGGCTCACGCCTGTAATCCCAGCACTTTGGGAGGCTGAGGCAGGTGGATCACCTGAGGTCAGGAGTTCAAGACCAGCCTGGCCAGCATAGTGAAACCTCATCTCTACTAAAAATACAAAAAATTAGCTGGGCGTGGTGGCAGGCGCCTGTAATCCCAGCTACTCAGGAGGCTAAGGCAGGAGAATTGCTTGAACCTGGGAGGCGGAAGTTGTGGTGAGCTGAGATTGTGCCATTGCACTCCAACCTTGGCAACAAGAGCGAAACTCCATCAAAAAAAAAAAAAAAAGAGGCAGATTTATTGAACTATAATGTGTATAAAATTTACTTGTTTTCAGTGTTGAGTTTTGACAAGTGGGTGTATTAGTGTAACTACCATCACAATCAAGACACAACAATTTTTTCAGTTCAAGAAGTTCACTAATGACCCTTTACAGAATTCCCGTACCAATACCCCACCCTAGTACCTTTCCCCAGAAAGATAGATCTGTTCTTTATCATCGTCGTTTTGCCTTTTCTACAATTTTATATAAATAGAATCATATGGTAGTGAAAGAAGTAGTCTAGCTTCTTTCACTAAGTGTGATGCATTTGAGATTCATCATGGCATTGAATGTATCAGTCGTTTGTTCCTTCATATTGCTGAATATTGCATGAATATCCCAAAAGTCATTTAGTCATTCACTGGTTGATGGACATTGGAGTTGCTTATAGTTTTTGGCTATTACAAATAAAGCTGCTATACACACTCATGTACAATATTTTCTTTTTCTTGGGTAAATACCTAGAAGTAGCATTGCTGGGTCATATGGAAAATGTAGGTTTAATTGTATTACAGAGTGCTAAACTGATTTTCTACAGTGACTGTACCACTTTGCAGTCCCAACAGCAATGTTTGAGAGTTCCTAGTCAACACTTGGTATGGTCAGTTTTATTTTTTTTTTAACTTTAGACATTCTAGTAGTATGTATTAGTAACATATGGTTTCAACTTGCATTCTTTTTAATAACTAATGATGTTGTGGATCTTTTTGTGGTTTTTTTTTGCCATCATATATTTTATTTGGTAAAATTCCTGTTCAAATATATTTTCTATTTTTAATTGGGTTATTTGTCTTCTTATTCTGAGTTCCAAGAATTCTTTCTATATTCTAAAGATAAATACCTTATAATGTGTATGTTATTCAAATATTTTTCTCCCAGTCTGTGGCATGCATTTTTATTTTCTTAACAATATCTTTCAAAGTTTTCAAGTTTTTTATTTTGATGAAGTCCAATTTGTGTTTTTTCTTTTATGTTTATACTTTTTCGGGCCATAACTAAGAAATATCTGCCTAACTTCAGGTTACAAAGATTTTCCCCTATATTTTTTTTCTAGAAAGTTTATAGTTTTAAGTTTTACTTTTAGGTATTTGACCTATTTTGAATTAATATTTTTATATGGCGTGAGATAAGTGTTGATGCTCATATTTTTCTATATGAATAGCCAGTTATTACAGCACCATTTGTTGAAAAAAAGACCCTGTTATTTCCCTATTGAAATACCTTGGCAGCTTTGTGTATGGTCTATTTCTAGACTTTCTATTTTGTTCCACTAGTCCACATGTTTATCCTTACACAATGACCAAATTGTCTTGATTATTGTAGCTTTGGATTAAGTCTTAAAATTAGGCAGTGTAAGTCTCCCAACTTTGTTCTTTTTCAAAATTGCTTTGACTATCCAAGCTAGATTTTTTACCTTTCATATAAATTTTAGAAGCAGTTTGTTAATTTATATATTAAAAAATTTGAAATTTTGATAGAAATTATATTCAATCTATAGGTCAATTTTGGGGGAAGTGGATATCATAATAACATTAAAGTCTTCCAATGCATGAACATGGTGTAGCTGTCCATTTAAATTAGGTCTTTAATTTCTTCAGTGACTTTTCATAGTTTTCAGTGTACAGGTTTTTTGACCTCTTTTGTCAAATATTTCATGTTTTGGATGCCACTGGAAATCCATTTTGAAAATTTTGACTTCTAATTTTTTTGTTGCTAGAAGATAGGACGTGCAGGCAGATAAGCATAAAGGACTGACATTTTTAATGTTTGAAATAACTGACTGCAGAGGCTCTAGAGCATGCATTCTCAATGGGAAAAATATTGTTCCCAAGGGGATGGAAAAATCTTACTCTTTTAATGTCTAAATCATAGATATACATTTACGTAAGCCAATGCATAAAAGTGTATACATTATATCTGCCATATTAAAATCTTATGCAATGGAGTAATTATAAAAAAATGTTTAAAATACTCCTTAGGGGAGCAATAATTTAAAAACCATTGGGAAACACTGGTTGTTCATAGCTCTTGGGATATATGATACTAAAAGAATACAAGTACTTTGAGTATTTGGGTACTTAATCTCTGTAAATTTCTTATACATTGATCACATTCAGGCTTAGTAAATAGATTTAAATAAGACCTAAGTCAAGACCACATGATTCCCAGAAAAATTAGTTAATACAAATTATAAACAAATTTTAAATGTTGAGCAGCAAGAATTTTAGGTCAGTGAATGCTGGATTTTGTCATATTCCTTTAAAGAGTGTTGGACTGTGTTCTTCCTGCAGTTACATTACTTGCAGATCAGACTGATCCTTTTGAGGCTTGCTTTTCAGGCTTATAAGGGTAGATCCAGAGCAGCCCTTACTCTAAGGCTAACAGTCTCACTACTAAGGTGTGGCCCTTCTAAGGACTCTCCCTATCCAATGCCCTGTGTATTGTGAGGTCTCTTATAATTGATGGGATTGCAAACTCTCCCCAGCCCTGTGAGAACTCCGGGAATTGTTCAACCTATTGCTTCTCAGTGGTTCTTTCTCTGGTGTTGTGGATTTTCCTTCCATGCATGCTCAGATCACAATTTGGCCAAAGACGCCAGGGGACTCCTCTGTTCTCTTAAGCCCTCACTCCATGTAGCTACCACTGCTCCAGGCATCCACCCAGCCAATTCTAGGTGCTTCTGCTTTCTCAAGTTCTGATCTCTACTCCTCACTAGGTAAGACTGCTGGGAATTATTGGGTTTTCCTCCTTGCACTGTAACCTAGAAACGGCTGCCAGGTAGGAAGCTGGTACAAGTGCAGGGCTCACTTCATTTGTCTTTGTTCTCACTGGAGTCATAGTCTTGTGCTGCCTGTGGTTCAACGTCTGAAAACAGTTGTTTAATAGATTTTGTTTTCCAATTTTCTAATGATTTATGGTCGGAGGGCAATTGCCAGCTTTGATAGAACCAAGGAAATATGAGCTCAGAGGAAAAGATAATGACACATTTGAAGAGCACAAATACCATAAAGAAACACAATACACTGAACAAATTATACCAGGCAAATAAGAATTAATTGACCAAAAAGAGAAAACAATTAAAATAGCTTTTACATAGCTTCAAGTAGCCAAGAAAGGATATTCAACATGAAGGTAGAATAATAATTTGAGAAGAACCAACTGAAGTTATTGGGTTTGAGAAAAACAATTTGGTTCCTTCTGAAAGTATTGCAGACCAGATATGCTGAAAAGCTCCCCATGGAAAGCATCTGGATGCTGGATATATTTTTAAATGTTTTAAAATACAATACTGAATCCATAAGTGAGTAAGTCTAGCCTATACTTTCTGCCTCCCTCAACAAATAGAGAGTTGAAACAAGTATAGTCAATGAAGCTGGAAATGAAGGCTGCCCTCATTAGGATGTAATCTCTGTGAGGCAGGGATTTCTGATTATTTTATTTCCTGATAAAGCACAGCCCCTGGAGCAAAGCCTGGGACAGAGTAAGTGCTGAGTACATATATGTCAAATGAATGGATGAGTGAATGAAGCAAATGGTTATCCAAGATCTTAGAACTTTGAGTATGAATAACTTGTCAAATAGGGAATAGAAACTAGGCCTGGGAACCTGGAAATGTTGTAGGAGCTGCCCACTGCACCTCTTCTTATGAAGCCACCTCTCAAAGAGTCCATGTTCTTAGTGAATTGTTGGCTTTACAAAAATAAAAGAATCCACTTGCCTGAGACAAAAGAATCACTTAGGAAACATATTTGTCTCCAGCATGAAGCCAGAAGGGATAAAACCAAGTCATAATCCCCTGAGAATTTGCAACCACTGGCCTTTCCTCTTGCATCTGGTGTTGAATTTATACTTCCTGAATGGTCAGAGAAACATTAATCTAAAATGAAATTCAAATGGTTCCAGTCTAAGACATCCAGCAGAATCAAATACAGATCCTCTTTGGTGGAAACCTTCTTAGAGTCAGGTCCTTCAGGTCGCCTACAGATTAAATTCAGCCAAATAAGAGCTCAAAATTTAAAAATATATAGATATACAAAAATCATGAGGAAGCAGGCTTCCCTGAATAAGAGTCAGAGGGAACAATCCAAAATAGATTTAGACTCCAAAAGCTTCAGATCCTGGGATTATCTGAAATGAAGTAGAAAATAACTATGAAAAATTTAATTAAAAATAAAAGATCAGATCAAAAATGAACAAGAAAAAATAGACTGTTACATATAGTCAGATAGATTTGAGAAATAAGCAAATAAAGATTCTAAACATGAAGGCAAATAACTTCAAATTTAGTCTTTTATATGCAGCTAAACAATTTTATTATAAGGATGAAACAGATATTCTCAATTACACAAGTCTTCATAATTTGTAACATACAATGAAAGTATTCTGTAAAGAAGTACCCCAGCAAAGTAAAGAAATAAATCCATGAGGAAGCAATGAGATATAGAAAGAAAGGGTGAGTGAATAACTTAGAAAAATCATATTGTTTTAGATATATTGGATTAAATGAAATGTATTTTTTTCTTTTATTATTATACTTTAAGTTTTAGGGTACATGTGCACATTGTGTAGGTTAGTTACATATGTATACATGTGCCATGCTGGTGCGCTGCACCCACTAACTCATCATCTAGCATTAGGTATATCTCCCAATGCTATCCCTCCCCCCTCCCCCCACCCCACAACAGTCCCCAGAGTGTGATGTTCCCCTTCCTGTGTCCACGTGATCTCATTGTTCAATTCCCACCTATGAGTGAGAATATGTGGTGTTTGGTTTTTTGTTCTTGCGATAGTTTACTGAGAATGATGATTTCCAATTTCATCCATGTCCCTACAAAGGACATGAACTCATCATTTTTTATGGCTGCATAGTATTCCATGGTGTATATGTGCTACATTTTCTTAATCCAGTCTATCATTGTTGGACATTTGGGTTGGTTCCAAGTCTTTGCTATTGTGAATAGTGCTGCAATAAACATACGTGTGCATGTGTCTTTATAGCAGCATGATTTATAGTCCTTTGGGTATATACCCAGTAATGGGATGGCTGGGTCAAATGGTATTTCTAGTTCTAGATCCCTGAGGAATCGCCACACTGACTTCCACAATGGTTGAACTAGTTTACAGTCCCACCAACAGTGTAAAAGTGTTCCTATTTCTCCACATCCTCTCCAGCACCTGTTGTTTCCTGACTTTTTAATGATTGCCATTCTAACTGGTGTGAGATGGTATCTCATTGTGGTTTTGATTTGCATTTCTCTGATGGCCAGTGATGATGAGCATTTTTTCATGTGTTTTTTGGCTGCATAAATGTCTTCTTTTGAAAAGTGTCTGTTCATGTCCTTCGCCCACTTTTTGATGGGGTTGTTTGTTTTTTTCTTGTAAATTTGTTTGAGTTCATTGTAGATTCTGGATATTAGCCCTTTGTCAGATGAGTAGGTTGCGAAAATTTTCTCCCATTTTGTAGGTTGCCTGTTCACTCTGATGGTAGTTTCTTTTGCTGTACAGAAGCTCTTTAGTTTAATTAGATCCCATTTGTCAATTTTGGCCTTTGTTGCCATTGCTTTTGGTGTTTTAGACATGAAGTCCTTGCCCATGCCTATGTCCTGAATGGTATTGCCTAGGATTTTTATGGTTTTAGGTCTAACGTTTAAGTCTTTAATGCATCTTGAATTGATTTTTGTATAAGGTGTAAGGAAGGGATCCAGTTTCAGCTTTCTACATATGGCTAGCCAGTTTTCCCAGCACCATTTATTAAATAGGGAATCCTTTCCCCATTGCTTGTTTTTGTCAGGTTTGTCAAAGATCAGACAGTTGTAGATATGTGGCGTTATTTCCGAGGGCTCTGTTCCATTCCATTGATCTACATCTCTGTTTTGGTACCAGTACCATGCTGTTTTGGTTACTGTAGCCTTGTAGTATAGTTTGAAGTCAGGTAGTGTGATGCCTCCAGCTTTGTTCTTTTGGCTTAGGATTGACTTGGCGATGCGGGCTCTTTTTTGGTTCCATATGAACTTTAGTTTTTTCCAATTCTGTGAAGAAACCATTGATAGCTTGATGGGGATGGCATTGAATCTGTAAATTACCTTGGGCAGTATGGCCATTTTCACGATGTTGATTCTTCCTACCCATGAGCATAGAATGTTCTTCCATTTGTTTGTATCCTCTTTTATTTCCTTGAGCAGTGGTTTGTAGTTCTCCTTGAAGAGGTCCTTCACATCCCTTGTAAGTTGGATTCCTAGGTATTTTATTCTCTTTGAAGCAATTGTGAATGGGAGTTCACTCATGATTTGGCTCTCTGTTTGTCTGTTGTTGGTGTATAAGAATGCTTGTGATTTTTGTACATTGATTTTGTATCCTGAGACTTTGCTGAAGTTGCTTATCAGCTTAAGGAGATTTTGGGCTGAGACAATGGGGTTTTCTAGATATACAATCATGTCGTCTGCAAAGAGGGACAATTTGACTTCCTCTTTTCCTAATTGAATACCTTTTATTTCCTTCTCCTGCCTAATTGCCCTGGCCAGAACTTCCAACACTATGTTGAATAGGAGTGGTGAGGGAGGGCATCCCTGTCTTGTGCCAGTTTTCAAAGGGAATGCTTCCAGTTTTGGCCCATTCAGTATGATATTGGCTGTGGGTTTGTCATAGATAGCTCTTATTATTTTGAGATACGTCCCATCAATACCTAATTTATTGAGAGTTTTTAGCATGAAGCGTTGTTGAATTTTGTCAAAGGCCTTTTCTGCATCTGTTGAGATAATCATGTGGTTTTTGTCTTTGGCTCTGTTTATATGCTGGAGTACATTTATTGATTTGCGTATATTGAACCAGCCTTGCATCCTAGGGATGAAGCCCACTTGATCATGGTGGATAAGCTTTTTGATGTGCTGCTGGATTCGGTTTGCCAGTATTTTATTGAGGATTTTTGCATCAATGTTCATCAAGGATATTGGTCTAAAATTCTCTTTTTTGGTTGTGTCTCTGCCAGGCTTTGGTATCAGAATGACGCTGGCCTCATAAAATGAGTGAGGGAGGATTCCCACTTTTTCTGTTGATTGGAATAGTTTCAGAAGGAATGGTACCAGTTCCTCCTTGTACCTCTGGTAGAATTCGGCTGTGAATCCATCTGGTCCTGGACTCTTTTTGGTTGGTAAGCTATTGATTATTGCCACAATTTCAGATCCTGTTATTGGTCTATTCAGAGATTCAACTTCTTCCTGGTTTAGTCTTGGGAGAGTGTATGTGTTGAGGAATTTATCCATTTCTTCTAGATTTTCTAGTTTATTTGCGTAGAGGTGTTTGTAGTATTCTCTGATGGTAGTTTGTATTTCTGTGGGATCAGTGGTGATATCCCCTTTATCATTTTTTATTGCGTCTATTTGATTCTTCTCTCTTTTTTTCTTTATTAGTCTTGCTAGCAGTCTTATCAATTTTGTTGATCCTTTCAAAACACCAGCTCCTGGATTCATTAATTTTTTGAAGGGTTTTTTGTGTCTGTATTTCCTTCAGTTCTGCTCTGATTTTAGTTATTTCTTGCCTTCTGCTAGCTTTTGAATGTGTTTGCTCTTGCTTTTCTAGTTCTTTTAATTGTGATGTTAGGGTGTCAATTTTGGATCTTTCCTGCTTTCTCTTGTGGGCATTTAGTGCTATAAATTTCCCTCTACACACTGCTTTGAATGCGTCCCAGAGATTCTGGTATGTTGTGTCTTTGTTCTCGTTGGTTTCAAAGAACATCTTTATTTCTGCCTTCATTTCGTTATGTCCCCAGTAGTCATTCAGGAGCAGGTTGTTCAGTTTCCATGTAGTTGAGCGGTTTTGAGTGAGATTCTTAATCCTGAGTTCTAGTTTGATTGCACTGTGGTCTGAGAGATAGTTTGTTATAATTTCTGTTCTTTTACATTTGCTGAGGAGAGCTTTACTTCCAAGTATGTGGTCAATTTTGGAATAGGTGTGGTGTGGTGCTGAAAAAAATGTATACTGTGTTGATTTGGGGTGGAGAGTTCTATAGATGTCTATTAGGTCTGCTTGGTGCAGAGCTGAGTTCAATTCCTGGGTATCCTTGTTGACTTTCTGTCTCGTTGATCTGTCTAATGTTGACCATGGGGTGTTAAAGTCTCCCATTATTAATCTGTGGGAGTCTAAGTCTCTTTGTAGGTCACTCAGGACTTGCTTTATGAATCTGGGTGCTCCTGTATTGGGTGCATATATATTTAGGATAGTTAGCTCTTCTTGTTGAATTGATCCCTTTACCATTATGTAATGGCCTTCTTTGTCTCTTTTGATCTTTGTTGGTTTAAAGTCTGTTTTATCCGAGACTAGGATTGCAACCCCTGCCTTTTTTTGTTTTCCATTTGCTTGGTGGATCTTCCTCCATCCTTTTATTTTGAGCCTATGTGTGTCTCTGCACATGAGATGGGTTTCCTGAATACAGCACACTGATGGGTCTTGACTCTTTATCCAATTTGCCAGTCTGTGTCTTTTAATTGGAGCATTTAGTCCATTTACATTTAAAGTTAATATTGTTATGTGTGAATTTGATCCTGTCATTATGATGTTAGCTGGTTATTTTGCTCGTTAGTTAATGCAGTTTCTTCCTAGTCTCGATGGTCTTTACATTTTGGCATGATTTTGCAGCAGCTGGTACCGGTTGTTCCTTTCCATGTTTAGCGCTTCCTTCAGGAGCTCTTTTAGGGCAGGCCTGGTGGTGACAAAATCTCTCAGCATTTGCTTGTCTGTAAAGTATTTTATTTCTCCTTCACTTATGAAGCTTAGTTTGTCTGGATATGAAATTCTGGGTTGAAAATTCTTTTCTTTAAGAATGTTGAATATTGGCCCTCACTCTCATCTGACTTGTAGGGTTTCTGCTGAGAGATCCACTGTTAGTCTGATGGGCTTCCCTTTGAGGGTAACCCGACCTTTCTCTCTTGCTGCCCTTAACATTTTTTCCTTCATTTCAACTTTGGTGAATCTGACAATTATGTGTCTTGGAGTTGCTCTTCTCGAGGAGTATCTTTGTGGCGTTCTCTGTATTTCCTGAATCTGAACGTTGGCCTGCCTTGCTAGATTGGGGAAGTTCTCCTGGATAATATCCTGCAGAGTGTTTTCCAACTTGGTTCCATTCTCCCCATCACTTTCAGGTACACCAATCAGACGTAGATTTGGTCTTTTCACATAGTCCCATATTTCTTGGAGGCTTTGCTCATTTCTTTTTATTCTTTTTTCTCTAAACTTCCCTTCTTGCTTCATTTCATTCATTTCATCTTCCATTGCTGATACCCTTTCTTCGCATCAGCTCCTGAGGCTTCTGCATTCTTCAGGTAGTTCTTGAGCCTTGGTTTTCAGCTCCATCAGCTCCTTTAAGCACTTCTCTGTATTGGTTATTCTAGTTATACATTCTTCTAAATTTTTTTCAAAGTTTTCAACTTCTTTGCCTTTGGTTTGAATGTCCTCCCATAGCTCAGAGTAATTTGATCGTCTGAAGCCTTCTTCTCTCAGCTCGTCAAAGTTGTTCTCCGTCCAGCTTTGTTCCGTTGCTGGTGAGGAACTGCATTCCTTTGGAGGAGGAGAGGCGCTCTGCTTTTTAGAGTTTCCAGTTTTTCTATTCTGTTTTTTCCCCATCTTTGTGGTTTTATCTACTTTTGGTCTTTGATGATGGTGATGTACAGATGGGTTTTTGGTGTGGATGTCCTTTCTGTTTGTCAGTTTTCCTTCTAACAGACAGGACCCTCAGCTGCAGGTCTGTTGGAATACCCTGCCGTGTGAGGTGTCAGTGTGCCCCTGCTGGGGGGTGCCTCCCAGTTAGGCTGCTCGTGGGTCAGGGGTCAGGGACCCACTTGAGGAGGCAGTCTGCCCGTTCTCAGATCTCCAGCTGCGTACTGGGAGAACCACTGCTCTCTCCAAAGCTGTCAGACAGGGACATTTAAGTCTGCAGAGGTTACTGCTGTCTTTTTGTTTGTCTGTGCCCTGCCCCCAGAGGTGGAGCCTACAGAGGCAGGCAGGCCTCCTTGAGCTGTAGTGGGCTCCACCCAGTTGGAGATTCCCGGCTGCTTTGTTTACCTAAGCAAGCCTGGGCACTGGCCGGCGCCCCTCTCCCAGCCTTGTTGCCGCCTTGCAGTTTGATCTCAGACTGCTGTGCTAGCAATCAGTGAGACTCCGTGGGCGTAGGACCCTCTGAGCCAGGTGCGGGATATAATCTTGTGCTGCGCCGTTTTTTAAGCCCGTCGGAAAAGTGCAGTATTTGGGTGGGAGTGACCCAATTTTCCAGGTGCCGTCTGTCACCCCTTTCTTTGACTAGGAAAGGGAACTCCCTGACCCCTTGCGCTTCCCGAGTGAGGCAATGCCTCACCCTGCTTCGGCTCAAGCACAGTGCACGCACCCACTGACCTGCGCCCACTGTCTGGCACTCCCTAGTGAGATGAACCCGGTACCTCAGATGGAAATGCAGAAATCACCGTCTTCTGCGTCGCTCACGCTGGGAGCTGTAGACCCGAGCTGTTCCTATTCGGCCATCTTGGCTCCTCCTCTGAAATGTATTATTAGAATTAATTTTACCTGAAATTTTTGTTTTCTTGCCTGCTTTACATTTTAATGTAAAACAAATGCTGCTACTAGAAAATGCAATAGAATAAAACCAAAAAGAAATGTGAGGATTAAAATGGAAGAGATAAAACTATCACTATTTCCAGATGATCTTTATAGAAAATCTACCAGGCTTAATAAACAAACGATCAGCATATTTAGAGAGTTCAACAAGGTAGCTGAATACAAGGTCAATTTACACATACACTTTACCAGAAATAATCACCTAAAATATTTACCAGGAAACAAGACACATTTACGATGGCAACAAGATGATAAAATATCCAGGAACTAATCTAGAAGAAGGTAAAACAAAAACTTTATGCAAAATATATTTTAAACTTTATTAAAGAACATGCTATAAGACCTATATACAGAGAGAGTTTCAGCAAATCCAGGCAACAGATTATGATGGTTGTGACTTGGGTGGTACTAAAAATTAGTTTGATTCTGGAAATATTTTGACAATAGAGCCTACAGAATTTCCTGATGGATAGGATGCGAAGCTTGAGAGAACAACAACAACAAAAAGAGTTAAGAAAGGATCCAAGATTTTTGTTCTGAACAACAGGAAGAATGCACTTGTGTTTTAGGAGGTAGATTGTGCAGAGCCAGTTTGAAAGGAAAGATTGGAAGTTTGCTCATGGACATGCTAAGTTTGAGATATCTGTTGAACACCAAAATGAGGTGAAAATGCAGTGTAATATATGAGCCTAGAATTCAGGAGAGAGGCACAGGCTAGAGATGCATACCAGAAAGTCATCAGTGAACAAATGGCGTTAGAGCCATGAGGCTGGCTGGCCTTCCAAAGGGAGTGAATACAGATAGAAAAGGCGACTAAGGATTGCGTCTTGAGCTCTCCAACGTGGCCAGAGAGCGGGGAGAAAAATGAGAGAGTGAAACATTGAATGAAGGTGTTTCATGGAAGAGAGGGAGAACAATAATTTTAAATGACAGGTTAAGGAAAATAAAGACTGAACATTGACCATTGGATATAGGAATGTGGAGGTCATTCATGAATTGAAAAGGAACAATGTACATTAGCAAATTCTGTCAGCTTTACTTTCAATGTGTACTTGGTTGGGGCAAAACCATGATTCAAGGGAGAATGAAACGAGAGAAATTGGATACAGTGACTATAGACAATGCTTGGAGAAGTTTTGATGCAGAAAAAGAAGAGAAGTGAGGTATCAGGAGGGAGAAGGAGGGTCAGCATGGGTTGTTGTTGACTTTAAAGAAGAACTCACAATATTCTTGAGAAGTGAGTTAAATTTAGTAGAGGGAAAAGCTGATAATGGAGGAGAGAGGAAGCATTGGGTAGACAAAGAAGGTGGGATTGAGGGGTTGCCCTTGGTGGGAACATGGAAAACTCACTTCTATGAATAGGAGAGAGTTCAAGGACATAGACACAGTTGCAGGTAGGCGGGCGGATGCAGGGTTGCAGTTTGTGGACATTTTCACAGTATTGCTTCCCTTTTCTCTGTGAGGTAGAAATCACAGTATGAGGAAGAAATGGGGGAAGAAGTTTTGAGGAGAGAGCAGAAGGTATAAACTCTGCTAGACGAGAGGAAAAGTGTCTTACCTCGTATCATACACACAAATAAACTAACTGGATTAAAAGTTTAGCTGTGAAAACCATTCTCACAGCTAGTGCAAGAAAATACAAAACTTATGTCACTTTGGGGCAAGTATAAATTTCTTAAATGAGATCTAAAAAGTACCAGTGTTAAGGGGGAAAATGAATAGATTTGACACAAAACTCCTTCGAAGACTTACACTGTGGGCAGAAAGCCACCCAGGTGCCGAAGCAAGAGACTGAAGGCACAAGATGTTCCAATATAATTAAGAAAATAGTTAGGATAAGAGAAAGTTGTATTAGAAATAGGATATAGAGATGATTATGGATATTATCAATCATTAGTTTTCAGTATTAACCTTTGTATTATTCTTATAACCAAAGAAAAACCAGGCCATACAGTGTTAGGAGCTGAAGGGACATTGTGAGAAGTGACCAAAAGACAAGAGTGTGAGCCCTCTGTCACGCCCAGATAAGGGCTGCTTGAGGGCTCCTTGGTCTAGCTGTAGCGCCAGTGCCTGGGAAAGCACCCATTACTTAGCAGACCGGGAAAGGGAGTTTCCCTTTTCCTGGGGGAGTTAGAGAACACTCTGCTCCACCAGCCTCTTGTGGGAGGTCTGACATTAGCCAGGCCTGCCCACAGTCGTCTGGAGGCTTAAACATCTCCCTGTGGTGCTGTGCTTCAGTGGTCATGCTCTTTGTCCACTTTCATGTTCTGCCTGTATACCTGGCTCCTCTTTTTAAGTTCTTAGAAGATAGCAGTAGCAGAGTTAGTGAAAGTATTAAAGTCTTTGATCTTTCTGATAAGTGCATAGAAAAAATGCTGACGTATGCTGTCCTCCCTCTCTGCTTCGGCTACCACAAAGGGCCCCCTGTCACATGGACATTTGATTTGCTTGACCTTATCAATCATTTGAGATGACTCACACTCCTTACCCTGACCCCTTGCCTTGTATACAATAAATAGCAGTGTGTCCAGGCATTCGAGGCCACTACTGGATTCCACGCTTTGGTGATAGTGGCCACCTGGGCCCAGCTGTCTTTCTTACTCTCTTTTTTTTTTTTTTTTGAGATGGAGTCTTGCTCTGTCTCCCAGGCTGGAGTGCAGTGGTGTGATCTTGGCTCACTGCAAGCTCTGCCTCCCAGGATCATGCCATTCTTCTGCCTCAGCCTCCCAAGTAGCTGGGACTACAGGCACACGCCACCACGCCGGGCTAATTTTTTGTATTTTTAGTAGAGACGGGGGTTTCACCATGTTAGCCAGGATGGTCTCAATCTCCTGAACTCGTGATCCGCCCGCCTGTGTCTCCCAAAGTACGGGGATTACAGGTGTGAGCCACTGCACCTGGCCTTGTCTCGTGTCTTATTTTTCCTACGATCTCTCGTCTCCGCACACGAAGAGGCCTATAGGGCTGGACCCTACATTATACGGGTTGAGTAGCCTTATCCAAAATGCCTGGGACCAGAAGAGTTTCAGGTTTTGAATTTCTTTTGAATTTTGGAATATTTGCATATAATGATATCTTGGGAATGGGACCCAAGTTTAAACATGAAATTCATATATATTTTGCATATTTATTATACCTATAGACTGAAAGTAATTTTATGCATGATTTTAAATAATTTTGTGCATAAAACAAAGTGTGTCGACATTGACCTATCAGAAAGCAAAGGCGTGACTATCTCGGCCATCTCTGTGGACAATCTGTAGTTGTTTAGCATCACCATCATTCCTGACTCTGAATTTATATAATGCCGATAAGCAGTCATTCTCTTACACTTACTGACATACCATTATTACAGTGAGAGAATAAAGTGTAAGCAGCACAGTAGCATCACCAGACACCTGGAACAACTGTTAAACAACAGCAACAGTAAGCAACCTTTCAGTCTCCACTTATGATGCCTTGCTTGGAGTAAAAGTTTACTGTAACTGTAATTTTTTTCTTTTTTTTTTTAGGTGAGGGAAACATTAGAGGCATTGAGGGACCAGGAAGTGTGTCCTCTAGGGATGAGGAGGCATTCTGCTGAGTGGCCTTTCTAAATGTTTCCTCCAGTCATCTGCCTCGTTATCTGCGGGTTTTGTCTTAGAAATCTCTTTTTGATTTTATAAACTGACATGACTTCACGTTCTATTACGAATGCATGCTGCCCTAGTCCTTCGATAAGTCCTTCACACATCTTCACCATGTTGTCTCTAGGCACTTTTTCTGAAGCGTTAACATCGTCCTCACTGTCACTATTATCAGAATCATCTTGATTCAGAACCATTTTTACTGCTTCATCATTGGTCGGTGAACGAATAACTGGAGCCTCATTATCAATGTTAAAATCTTCAATATCCACTTCTTCCAGCTTGCTAATGGACTCTGAAGGAATATTTTTACCATATGTAAGGAAGTCAGCCATCTTTTTTTTCTCACTTGACATACAGAATCTTTCAAAGACACGACCTTGTTCATCATTATCATTAAACATAGTTACAGACCAGAGGTTGTGCCAGGCATGCACGACTGTGTCTTAGTCACTGTGTTTCATGCATTGGCAATGGCATATATGGCATTCTTCATGTTAAACTCCTTTTGAAAACCCCCCACAACCACACCTCCGTTCACTGCTGCTAGCATGCTGTTCAAGAAAGTGTTTCTGTAATCACTTTTGATTGATCTAAGGATTCTCTGGTCACATGGCTGAATTAATGATGTCATATTTGGAGGAAATGACACAGCATAAGCATGATTTTGTTGAGAATTTCAGCTGGAGGATGAGCAGAACAGTTGTTGAAGGAAAAACAAAATCTTTCAGTCGATCATCCAGTCCAGCTTCCCTGCAGTGAGCACAAGCCACTGGTACAAAATGTTTGTGAAATGAATCAAAAACTATGCCCCAGGTGATCCATGTATTTTTGTTAGCATAACAATTGGACTGGTAAGAAATTCACTTCTTGAAAACAGCATGAATGCAAGTCTGCCCATCACAGCAAGTGTACACTTACGCGTGCCTGCTGCATTAGCACATCCCAGCCGTTATTCTGTCCTTGGCATCCTTCATTCCTGTCTCATCAGCTGGAGTTAATGTCTTTCTGGGGCAGTAACACCGCAACAAGGATGTTTCATCAGTGTTATAGACTGTTTCTGGCATCAGATTTTCATCAGTGATGATTCTGGCAAATTTGTCAATGAATTTCTCTACTACTTTGTGATCAGCAGATGCTTTATCACCACAAATCTTTAAACATATAATGCCACGTCTTTTCTAAAATTTCTGCAGCCAGCCTGTTGAATATTCACACTTCCCTTCAATTTTCAGTTTATTGTGATAGATCTTCTCTTGTTTCATAATCAGCATACCATTAAGTGGCATGTGTTCACAGGGATGCTGACAGATCAACTCTTTCAATACATGATCAAGACCTTCGTGTTCATCTTTACCCAGTGTTTTCCTACTTTTTCATTAACTTCTGCTTATCACTTTTAGCATAGAATGGCATTAGTTTTATCCTTCTATTTCTTCAGATCACATATTGTGGTCATTCCAACACCATACTCCTCTGTAAGATGTTTCATGCACCATTGTCCAGTTTCTCCAACAGCTTGACTTCCTGTGCTATAAACATAAATACTTTCTCTTTTTTTTAAATCACTGTTACCCATAGGGTTATCTGCAGGCCTTTTTGACATTTTCAACAATATCTTTATCCCACAGAGTAGAGAATACACACACACACACACACACACACACACACACACACACACACACACACACACACACACACAGTAAGTAATGCACAGAGGTCTTGGCCTCCTGTGGAGCATTGAGGGGAACCTGCAGTCAGCGTGTCTCGCCTGGATCAGTGCTATTTTATTATTGTTCATGAGCGTGCTTGCGTGGGGAATCTGGGTGTCTGCCAAAAAGATAGATGGCAGCTGAAGGGGCCTGGGAGGATCTTTTTTCCCCTGGGGACACAGAATAAACTGGGTGTCGTGTGCCTGCATTTCAACTGTGACCCATCACATGAGGTTGGGCATAGAATTTTTCACTTGTGGTATCATGTCGGTGCTCAAAACATTTCAGATTTTGGATCATTTCAGATTTTCGGACTAGAGCTGCTCAACCTATTTACCGTCAGTCTTTCCTCAACACTTGTTTTCTTTCCAGTACACACTCCAAATAGTCTCCCGTCCTGCCACTTCCTCAAGCCTGACATCTCGAAGGTCAGCAATGTTCCCACAGGGACAAATCTCGAGGGCAATTCTCTGCCCTGATTTACCTCCACCTGGTAAGAGCTTCCAGCACATTGGGGCAGGCTCTCCTATGCAGACACTCCCTCCACCTGGCTCATGGAATCCCACCGCCTCTTGGCTTTTCCTTTACGTCCTCAGCTTCCTTGGCTGGGTGCTCCTCCCATGCTTCGAACCTCAGAATAGTGAAGCCTCCCCAGTGGAGCGTCCTCAGACTCTTCCTCCAGGGTCACTCACTTTGTAAGTGATCTCTTAGTTCTGTGATTTCACAAATATTATCTGCACACTAATGACTCCCAAACTTTTGATTCTGACCACAGCCTCCCCGCCTGGATTCCAGGCTTCTATACACAATAGCCTCTTTAACATCTCCATTTCTATCACTAGCAGGCCTCCCAAACTCAAACTCTTTAAAATCACACTTGCTATTCCTCCCTCAAACCTGTCCCTTCCTGAATGTGCCACACTTTATTATTGTTACCCTTGAGTCCTCATCTTCCCTCTCCACTTCATATTTAATCCATCAGCTCTACTTTCAAAGTCTATCAGGATATGACCACTTCTGAATGTATCCACTACTCTCACCCTGGCCCAGGCCACATCATATCTCCCTGCTCATGGCGATTCCTGCTTTACTTGCCCTCCCACGTCCATTCTCCTCACCCCCTTCTTCTTTGTATCCAAATACTTTAAGTATACAAATGATATCATATCACTCTCCCACTCAAAACCCTCCAGTGGATTCCCAGCATTCTTAAAACAAAATCCAGTGTCCTTACCTTGGCCTCTAGGGTCGTATATGATGTGGTCCTTGATCTCATTTCTTGCCCTTCACCCCTTCATCTGCCACCCTTTGGGCCCTCTGGCCTTTTAGCTCTTCTGGAAGCAATTGCTCAACTCAAGGCTGAATGAGCCCATGGCTCTCTCCTCCAATGTCAGGACCAGGAGCAAGGTTTCCTGACCCATTGCCCGATTTAAATAGCACCTCCCGTTAAATCTCTTCCTGTTTGTCTTGCTTTATTTCTCTTTATAGCTCTTATCATTACCTGGGTGTGTGTGTATAATTTTTTTGGCCAATATCTCTCACTAGATTATAAATTTCATGAGAATAAAGCCATGTTCTGTTTTCTTCACCACTGCAGATTTATTGAATGATAAAATGAATGAGTGAATTCAAATGACTGAATACAGCATTGCGGATAGATCATATAAACATTGTGTTAAGTGAAAAATTAAGAAATATAATGGAAATTGTAACGCAATACTCGTTATATAAGTTATGAGCACAAGCTTCAAGGAAATTCAATGAGGGAAAGAAAGTGTTTTCAACAAATGGTGCTGGAATAACTGGATAAGTATATGGAAAGAAAAATGAACTTCAATCCTTATTTATACTATACATAACTATACATGAGTGATAGGCTAGAACATAAAAGTTTGAATTATAAATGTCCTAGAAACAAATATAGAAAAATATATTCATGAGCTTAGGAGAATGTAGGCAAAGTTTTCCTGGCTAGCACCAAAAAGAGTACTAACCATAAATGAACAAACAAAAACAACCCCCGATACAATAGGCTTCATGAAAATTTAAAATGTCTGGTTAATCAAAAGACACCATTAAGAAAAGGTAAAGGCAAGCCATGGACTGGGAGAAAATATTTACTGTATATAAATCTAAAATATGTAAAGAACTTCTAAGAATCAACAGTAAAAATAGAAGCAATGCAATTTTAAATGGGAAAAGGATCTAGACTCTTCTTTAAAGAAGAAATAAATAACCAATAAGCACATGAAAAGATACTCTATCAAAAGTCATCAGAGAACTTCCAATTAAAACTGCAGTAAGATATTCTAGACCCCAAGAATGAAACATTCACATGGCACTGGGGGCAATGTGCAATAGCATGAACACTGTGGAGTGCGGTTTTCCAGTTTCTTATGAAGTTAAACATATAACTTCCTAATGAATCAGCAATTCTGTTCCTGGGCATTTGCCCAGAAGAAATGGAAACCCATGTCCACAATAAAGACTTGTGCAGAAACATCCAGAGCAGCATTACCCACGATAGCCAAAAAGTGCCACCAACCCAACTTCATCAACTGTTGATGGATAAAGTACATCCATTCACACAATGGAATATTGCTCTGCAACAAAAAAAAGAATGAACTACATGGATGACTTAAAAACATTATGTTAAGTGAAAGAAGCCAGACGTAAAAGGCTGTGAGGTTCCAGTTCAGCAACAGGCAAAATGCATGTAGAAATCTGAACAGTGGGTGCCTCTGGAGGGTGAGAGTTGACTGGAAGGTGGCACAAGGGGACTTTCCAGAGAGATGAAAGTGTTCGGTACCTTGGTTGGGGTGGTGGTTTTACTGGTATATACCTTTGTCAAAACACCTCAAACTGTACAATTAAGATCTGCATATTTAATGAAAGAAAAGTACACTTACAAAAACACATATAGAGCAAGCCTATATATATTTCAGAGATCATTGCCTATCTAAGGACGTATAGTAAGTACTTTTGAATGGGCCTTTTCTGGGGGAGGGGATTTTTTGAGGACAGCATGTAAAATATTTTATAAAATAACAAAAGAACTCAGAAACTGATGAAGACAGCCTGTCATGAAATGAGGAGAGCGACTATATGCAGAATTTGCACCAGAGATAAGAAAGGAAAGCAGATGGGCAGGCAGGAAGAAAGGGAGCAAGATGGGAAGTCAAGAAAGAAGGTGGGGAGGCAGGGGAGGGAAAACGGAAAAGGAGTTGTGTGGAGAGGACAAGTCATAGAAAGGAGGGAGGAAGAGAGAAAGGAGAGAGAGGGAACAAGAGAGAGAGAAGAATTAACTAAATACTATGCCGAGATTGCCTTTTCTTTCATTCTATTTGTCCTCTGCACTTAACCAGCTCATAAGCCCTTGGGAGGGAGGCACTATTTTTTATAAGTCCTTGCTCCTGCCAGTGGGCAGAACTTGTCGGCTGGTGGGTTAGTTAACAGGCAGCAAGAGACTGCGTATCAACGCCAGGTGTGCACTTTGTAGCACAGACAGCCCTTTCATCCAGATTTAAGGGAGGAAAATCCTGGTAGCATTTTACTGGAAACACTTTAGAGGCTGAGGCCTTTGTGATTTCATCAGCTAGGGCTCCCACAGGCCCCAGAGGGCCTTTTAATTATTGGGAGGGGCCTCCAGGGTGCCTCAGTCTCTTCCTACAGGTGCATGGGGTGCTGATTTTAACACACACGATGTGCCTATTTCTTCAGCAGGACTCAGTGTGAACTGAGCCACCACCTGGCTCTCTTGCTTTCAGTGGCTCTCACCGCGGCCTGAAGCCCCCTGTGCCGGGACAGTTACAGTTGTCTCTGGATTCTGGCAGCTCTGTGCTCCCATTCTGCACCCATGAATTAGCTTTGCTCACTCCTGCTACAGTTCAGTTTGGCTCAATAATCACTTAGTGAGCTCCTTCCAGATGCAGACCCAGGGTGGGTGCTAGGGTACAGGATGACTGAGTCATGGTCCTGCCCTCAAGGGGCTTGCGTGTAGAGTGGAAGACATAAGGAGACAGAATTGTGAAAAGAGGCAGCAAATGCAAAAAGAGCCACAGGGGCTGGGAATCAGGTACAGGGCCCAGGCTGTGGTTCCAGGAAAGACTTCCCAGAGATGATGCCTGAGCTGCATCTCAAAGCTCCTGCAGCTCTAAATTTGGCTGCTCTTTCTCCCTAGACGTTCCAAGGCTCACAGGAGCGAGATCCCAACAAGGGTCAGCCATGCTTCTGGAAGCCCCTGCTCCTGGCTGCCAACTCTGCATCATAAGGTATCATAAGGACTTTCATGATGGGGAACACGTTGTTTCCAACATCCTCCGGATCTCACTTCAAGCCCGGCATGTGCTACCAGGAGCCACAGAAACAAAAGACCCGGGTTCAAGTTACAGCTCCAGTTCCTACTAGCTGAGTGACCATGGCAATTTAGTCAGCCTCTGTCTGCATGAATTTCCCCATGTATAAAGTGAGATCATTGACAGCCTTCTCAGAACATGGTCACGAGGATAAAATGGGTAATGTTTGTACAGCTCATAGCCCCGAGGCTGGTGCCTGGTGTGCAGTAACCACCATCTTCCCATCTTCCTCTTCCTCCGTGGGGGCAGCAGTTTTCCAGCTGTGCTTCACGGAAACCACAATTGCATCTGGTTTACTTGCTGGCAATCACAGGGTATCTGCAAAAGAAACTAGGCTTCCACATGTTAGTGAAAGTAGTAGAATTTTCATCTTTTAAGCATCTGTGGAGACATTATTTATGAATCCAATTTCTGTTTTTATTCTATCTGCAAATTACATTCTTATCATCATCCTGTAGAGGCAAATTTATTCCCAAACATAATCACAGATTACCAAAAATAAAAAAGTATAAGTATTGTCATCCATGGATAGGGAGTTTATTACATTTGCCTTACAATGACCCAGATAAATGTAATGAGAATGAGAGAGAGGGGACAGAGGATATTATGTCTCCCAAACCTCTGTCTCAGCTACTACTACTTTGATACTTATTTATATCAGCCTCACCTTAACATCTCTCAGGTGAAATGCTTTCTAAAACCCTGGCTCTATGATTCAAAAATATAAAAACACTCTAGATATTCCAGCTCTAGGTTACTCACAGAAAACTAATTCACTGAAAGTCAATTCATCTAAGGATCTATTTCCATAATGACCAATTCATCAAATTTTCCAACTTATAAAATATATATTCCTTTCAGCTGCTTATGAAGCTTATAGCAATTCATTCAGATGCGTAGACAGGGCCCAGGAGAGCCATGGGAAGTCAGGACTGCAGGGATCTGGGTCCCTCAAATCCTCCTTTGCTTTTCAGAGTCCTCCTCTGTCTGCCTACAGAACCAATTATCCCCCAATTTAATGGCTTAAAAGAACAACAAGTATTTATTATCTCCCATAATTTCTGTGGGTCAGGAGTTCAGGGGCAGATTAGCTGGATGGTTCTGGCTTGGAGTCTCTTGTAAGGTCACAATTAAGGTGATTTGTCATTTGAGACTGGAGCTGGAACATCTACCCCCTAGATGGCTACTCACCGGCTGTGGGCAGGAGGCCTTGGCTTCTTGCCATGTGCTCCTCTCCCTAGAACTGCTTCCGTGTCCTCCCAACATGGCGTCTTGCTATCCCAGTGTAAGTGATCCAAGAGAGAGGAAGGGGGAAACTGCTATGTTATTTCTGCATTGTCCTCTTGGTTACACAAATCATTCCTATCCAGCATGGAAGAGGATGACACAAGGAAGGGGAGACCCAAAGGTAGAACTCACTGGAGGCTGGTGACCAAACTGCCCCTCTTTGACCCTCAGACTACTCCTCCTCTGTCTCTTAGTCTTCCCTTCCCTCTGCCATTCCCAATCTATTGCTAGAAATTTTATAAAAAACTAAAACAAACTTTTTTGGGGGGTAAATCAGTCAATTCAGTAAAACTGGAGAAAGGGTTTTTAAAAAGCTAAAATGTAGGCAAGACAGAAAATGGCTTTACCAAGGACTAGAAAGAAATTAGTTAAAAATTAAAAACTTCCCTTGCCAAGCATTGAAATATTGCACAAGGCGAATATATTTATTTTATTATTTTATTTTATTATTATTTTTTGAGAACGAGTCTTGCTTTGTCACCCAGGCTGGGGTGCAGTAGAGCGATCTCTGCTCACTGCAACCTCTGCTTCCTGGGTTCAAGCGATTCTCCTGTCTCAGCCTCCTGAGTAGCTGAGACTACAGGCGCGTGCCACCATGCCTGGCTAATTTTTGTGTCTCCGTGCCCAGCCTGACAAATATATATAAATTCACCAAGTATGGCCAGAAAGCCTCTCCCTTCAAACAGGCTTTTTGTAAGTAGGTGGAGTGGGTATCCCCAGAACGTATCCTTTCACAAGTGGGCTTTCAGAGAACTGGCCTGCTGCATAAAATCCTCCACTTTTGGCTGTGAAACCTATGTTGGCTGCCACTTACCTTTTTCAGGCTCCTGTCGGGGAATGTGGGGGTTCTTGTGCGCACCACCTCTCCAGCCAGGCTTCAGCTCCCTACGTCCCTAATCCTCAGATCTGCTGCCTCAGGTGCCCTTGGTGAAGCAGTCTGCACTGGTGGGTTCCACTGATAATGTCAAAGCTGCTTCCACTCCTTCAGCAACTCTATTACATAGGCATCAGATGATCCTTCTTCCCACAGAGGCTGGAGAGGCTGTGGGACCTGTCACACAGGCCACACAACAAAAAGGACAGAGTGAGGATTCAAACCTCACTGTGTCTGATTCCAATCACATCTGGCCATCTCATCCCCTCTGCTTCTGACTGTGAGTGGCAGCGTTGCCTCCTCAAACCTTCAGTCACCTGTTGCACCTCAGCCATGGAATTCCAGACACTCCATCCCCTGAGAGGGGCTGCATTATTCCCAGTGGGGGCTCCTGGTGGGCCTGTCTTGGAGAGACCCTTCCCTACCTTCCTCACTGTGCCTGCAGTCCCCAGGCTTGTGACTGCCTGTCTAAATGTAGTTATCAGGGGCGCCCTGGAGCCCTCAGGGGCCAGCCAATGGCCAGAGAGCGACAAAGAGCACATTCCTCCCCTGAGCCAGGAAGGCTTCCTCGAGGTTGCACATGAGCATGGGCTGATTGCTGCTGTCTGAAGAGGACAGAGAATGAATCATTTCAAAGAACTTTCAAGCCACCAGAGAGAAAAAAGAAAGAAAATCCTTTTCAATTTGCTCTCTTTCCTCCCTCTCCTTATTTTACCTGTCTTTCTCTCTTCACCTCTCTTTCTACCTTTCTTCCTCTGGTTCTCTGTCTTGCCATCTCGCAGTCTCCTGCATGTCTCTCTGTCTGGCTCTGTCTCTTTTGCTGTTTCTCCTGTGTCTCTGTCCCTCATGTCTAGGTTTTCCTTTGAGGTCGGGGATTACGCTGACTCTCCCTCTGGGTCCCTGACTCATTGTCTGGAATCAGGGACCACCAACAGGTGATAGCTGGAGAAAGGAGAGGTCACAGGAGTGACAGAAAACTGTCCAGAGTTGTTTCGGGGGGCAGACCCACTTCAGCCATCAGTAGAATTGGGTGACATCCTTGGATTTGTGCGCCATCGCTGGGCTGACACTTAGGGTCATCTGGAGCGGAGAGAAGGGACTGTGAGCATGATGCTGAAAGGCTGGAGGAACTCACCTGCCATCTTACCTGTTTTGCAGAAAACCATAAGCACTGGCTCTGATTTTCTAGCAGGCTTTGTTGCCCTACGGAATGGGATAGGGCTTGACTCATGCCACTGCTGGGTGGCATGTATGGCCATGGTTGTGGGTAGGTGGCAACCCAGTGACCACTCTTTGTTTACAGCATGGAGAAATGGGCAGAGGAAACCCAGATGTCCCAGGGGCATGTCTCAGGCGGCCGGTGCCACTGCCCAGGGCTCTGTAGCCATGAGGCGCTGGGAGCACTTGCCCCGTGCTCCTTTTGAACATTGCTTATGGAGGGGTGCAGCCCCTTGGGTGTCCTTGGAAAGCACAGGCGTATCACGGAGCAAATGAGAGCAGCTAGATGAAACCAGCGCCCATGCCTCGGTGACAAATCATGAGCACTACATTTTTATGAAAAATAGATCATTTAAAAATATTTTTCCTACTCGTGAAGCCTTATTTTTTCCTGCAAAGTACAAGTGTCTTTTCTATAATACCCTGACAGTGTATTTTAAGTTACAGCAAGTATTTTGAATAAGGCAGTCATCAAATTTCCACTCTGGAGGTTATTTCTAGAAGTTGTCCCCTGCTTTTATAAAGATAGCTCATTTCTTCTTGAAGTGACTCTGACTCTTTTTCATTTCTCTCTTTCTCTCTTTTAAAAGGCAGCACAACTGGCTAGCTCATTATGCCTATTTCTGCACAATTAGGAAGGGCCCAGCACACTTTCACTTCAGAGTGATGTATTTCGTGGTGATGACTGATACTGGGGTTGACCAGAGAGCAGAGAGAGATGAAGTGCTGTGAGAAATCTCAGCAGAGGAGGAAGTGATCTGTCGAAGACGAGATGGAATTAGCCGAACGTTACTTTCAAACTCAGTGGCCTGGGATCCATCATGGGGCCAAAGCTGGCTCAGGCCAAAACAGTAGAGCAGCACATTTTGTTCTGAGTCTTGCCAGCCGCCTTCCCCACCACAGCCTCCAATTTTGGCATTCCTTGCTTGCTTTATTCCTGAAGAGATATTGAATAGCTACCGTTTATATATTGTTAGGGCTTTACAAAGTTGTTTTTGTTTTGTTTTTCGTTTTTTGATACGGAGCCTCGCTCTGTCACCCAGGCTGGAGTGCAGTGGCACGATCTCAGCTCACTGCAAGCTCCGCCTCCCAAGTTCATGCCATTCTCCTGCCTCAGCCTCTCCCGAGTAGCTGGGACTATAGGCATGCACCACCGTGCCTGGCTAATTTTTTTGTATTTTTAGTGGAGACAGAGTTTCACCATGTTAGCCAGGGTGGTCTCGATCTCCTGACCTCATGATCCGCCTGCCTCGACCTCCCAAAGTGCTGGGATTACAGGCGTGAGCCACCATGCCCGGCCTAAAAAGTATTTTTTAAAAATAAGGTGCTGGTCCTTATATTGTGATGTTATAAAATGCCTCTGCCGAGGTCTGTTCTTAGAGAAACACAGGGCTCTTTGCTGTGGATATCTTCTATTTGAGTGGAAGGACAGGTCGACATGCGGCGGTAAAGGAAAGCCTCACCTTTTACTGCATGGTAGCAGGAACACATGATCAAACCCTCTACGTTCTTGGAGGGAGGAGGCCCAGGCGTCAGCCCCCGTGTTGGTATTGAATTCAATGTTCCCATGTGATGAGTCCATTGAGAGGAGAAAGTTAATTTAACTCGACCGGACTGTACGTCAATGCCATTAGGAAAACCACACTGCAAGAGTGAATGAGGCATCACGCCAACCCCGGGGAGTTGTCCAGACAAGGAGATAAAGCTTATGCATGGGGAAGATACAAGATATACAATAGTAGGTGCCATAAGTAAGGCTCAGAGGGCTGTGGGGGCTTAGAGCAAAGGCAGAGGACAAGGGGAAGGATTTAAGGAGGAGGCGGTTTTTGCCTTGAGAACTCCATAGCATTCAATGGCCAGAGAGACAGGTTATGAATAACCTTGAACACCAGACTATGGAATTTGACTCTATCTAACAGTGTAAGAGAAGGGATGCCAAATGCACTGTTGATGCGCCACAACTATCCTATCCCTGTACCTAACCACCTCCTACACAAAGCCAAGAAACACCAGTGATCCATTGTGGCCCTTCTTCGTGGCCTGACTATGGCCTCAGAATCCAGATGTTCCTCAGTATATAAAAGCAAAAGGACCAAGTATCTTGCAGTAGCCACAGAGGTGCCTGCCTGCAAGCAAACCTTTTGCAGAGATCACAGCTGATTGAAACCTCCGGGAAGCTGCACCTCTGGATCCATCAGGGTGTTCGCACCTGGCCGCACTTCTGCCAGCTGCCTCCGGCCAACACTGAGCCTGGCAGTGGTGCTAGAAGTGGGCCATTCTTGCCCTCTGGGTGATTCCCTTTATGGGCAGCTTTGGCTCAAGGACTTGCCATCTGTCTGCCTAGGACTCGCTCAGGACTGCCATGAGATCTGGGGCTCTTCCTGTCCAATGCTCCTTCCCTCTCAGCTTCTCCTGCTCCCACCTCCTTAGGCTTCACAGGTGGCTATCCCCTAGAATCTCTTGCACTTTGAATTTTATTTCAGTATCTGCTTCTTGGAGGACACATGCCCATTACCAATTAATTGTGTCACATTTAAGTCTAAAACTTTTGCTGTTCCTCTTCTTGAAAATGGGAAACCATGGACATTTGGGAGGCAGGGGGTGAAATGCTTAGTCTGTCCCTCAGCAGTGTGAGCAAAACGCATTTGACTAGAGTCAGGGAGGCAAATTAGGGTTACTGCTGTAATTCAGGCTGTGCACACCTGGACAAGGGTGGTGGCAGCGGGACTGGAAAAGAGGAGTGGCCACAAGTGACATAGCCACATCTGCCTCATCTGACTGCCATCTCTCCAATCAGCATGGAAAAAAATGATAAACAATGGGTTTTTTTAAGGAAAGAACACTGACGTAGAGGTCAGGAAGCCTGGGCTCAGCTCCAGCACTAACCAGCCGTGCACCCCAGGAAATGACAGCAGCTCTCTGAACTCAGCTTCCAACACCTGGAAATGGACAGGGAGGGGTGGGATGAGGTGATCTGGCAATTCACTAGTGTTCTCACATGCAGCCCTCCCCTTTTAACGTAACACAACATTTGCCATTTTAGTCATTTTTAGGGGTACAGTTTAGTGGCATTAGGAAAATTACACTGTAAGAGTGAATGAGGCATCACCCAACCCTCAGGAGCTGTCCAGAGAAGGAGGTGGAGTTTGTGCATGGGGAAGATACAAGACATACAATAGTAAGTGGTATTGGATGCCACAGTATCCACTAGATGGATGTTATGCACCCATCACCAACATCCATCTTCAGGACTTTTTCATCTCCCCAAACGAAAACTCTGTCCGCATGAAACACCAACTCCCCATTTCCCCTCCTTCCCCAGCAGCTCCTGGCCCTTCTCATGCTACTTTCCGTTGTTATGATTTTGACTACTCTAGTACTGCATGTACGTGGAATCACACAGTATCTGTCCTTTTGTGTCTGGCTGATTTCACTGAGCATAATGTTCCTCCATGTTGCAGTGTGTCAGAATTTCCTTCCTTTTCAAGGCTCAATAATATTTCATTGTGTAGATGACCACATTCTGTTTATCCATTCATCACTAAGAGACACTTGGATTTCTTCCACCATTTGGCTGTTGGGAATAATGCTGCCATTAACACGGGGGTGTAAATATCTCTTCCAGATCCCGTGTTTGATTCTTTGGGGTGTATACCCAGAAGTGGGATTGTTGGGTCACACGGTAGCTTGCTGTTGTCTAAGCAGCGCTTTCCCAAACTTCCCAACAGAGCAGCCACACAGCCACTGTAAATGAGTGCAGGAACTAGTAACCGTCCAGTAGTGGCCAACATATCACGCTCTATTTTACGAATTCACCCAGATTCAGCATTCTGCATCACATCATATCCTTGTTTGTTTATAAAAGTGTTGCTTTATACTACATTCCAGTGTAAGGAACACTTTGCTCTGCAGAGTCCAAAAAGCCCTGCTTCTCCTGTGGCTTCCCCGGGCTGGGCTGTGATGGCAGTGCCCAGCTGGACGAGCACCCAGAACAGGGTTGCAGTTAAGATCCCGTCCAGCTCTGACACTCTCTGACTTAAAGCAACACCCCTCCCAGTGGCTTCTTCATTTTCAACAAAAGTGAAGTGAGCTCAGGACTCTTGCTGCCGAGCCAGGAGGCGTGAGTCACTAGCCATGGGAATTTCAGGCATCTGCGTGTGTGCGATGGCGGCTGGAAATGGAGAGGGAGCATTTCTAGAGCTGAAATGTCGCAGAGGCACAGCCCCCAGTGGGTCTGGCACAAAAGCAGCGTTATATCGAGAGGCCTGGCAGCGCTGCCTGGGCTTGTTTCCCAGCTCTTGCAGCTCTCGGGGGGTTCTAGAAGATCGTCCAGACTATGACTCATTCCTGTGTTACTGTAATAGAGAAAGAAGTAGGTGGCAGTGTGACATGGATTTCACGGAGAATTAGTGAGAAATCTGTGTCCACTCAAGCACATTTTATGTTGTCTGAATGTGAGGATTCTCCTTTGGGCTGTTTATGGGCAGGGTGGGAGAGAGATCGCAGAGGTGCAGTCATGGGCTTCCAGAGGCTTTTTACAATTCTGTAGTGGCCATGCTGGGAAGACGCCCTGAGAAGACACTGCGACTGTCCATGTGACAGCTGCGGGAGTGAAAGCCATTGGAAATTCCTCCAAACCCATTGAGCCAAGGCTGCCACTGCCATGTCCCATCCAGGTGAGGCTTTGGCCAGAGCTGGCTATGGACTGGTTTGCATTTCCCTGCTTTTGATTTCCCTGACAGTCTACGGTGGAAATGCCCATGGGGAGTGAGGAGATGGAAGAGAACACAAAGGCAGACAGGAAAGGCTGAGAAGGTTCTCCCATTGGACACATAGTCCTCAGATGCATGAACTGTCCCTTGAGAGAGAGGAGTGGGACTGTAGGTCTAAATTCACATCACTGTAAATTCCATTTGTATCTTCACGGGATGTGACGAGGACCATAATGTCAACGCTCTTGAGACGTCTGCCCACAGGTGCCCTCGTGCTGAAGCTTTCCCTCCCAGCTCCCATTTCAGGAATGAAGTGTTTCTTCCCCTAGCTGCAGCAGATGTCACCAGTGGACAGTCTTCAGTGGACAGCTCTCTTCTGGAAATACCCTAGCTGAAGGGAGCCAGTCTAAGCTGCACAGCTCTTCCTGATGCAGACTATACACCAGCCATGATGCCGAAGTCAACTTGCAAGTGGAGAGAGAAGGAATTCAGACCAGAAATGGACTAGGGTTCACAGCTGAAAAATACCAGTAGTGGCCATGAGGTAGGTTGTGTGAGCCACAGACCTGAGAGACACCGTGGGCAGCAGCAGGAGAGGCGGTGGTGACAGAGGCCAGCACCCCAGGCCCCTGGTCTGCAAACACCTCCAGTGAAGCCAGGGCAGAGTGGTGACCAGGCGCCATCCTCCTCCACTGTCATGACAGCAGGTGAGACCTGGAATGTGTGTGCAACCCCACAGGGAGCCAGGATCAGGAACACTTGAATTCATTAAAGTAAAGTAACCCCAAACTGACAGAGAAGCCTTGAACTGAAAGAGAAATTACTTAATTGCCTGAGAAATAGCTAAATTTATTTTTGCACACCTGAGGCTTGTGAACAATCTGAACTTCATACCTGCTCCACAGTGTTTGCAGTTTAATCACTTCTTTCCTGCTTTTCATTACAACGGCAGGGGGAACAGAATAGGGTGCCAGGACAAGGCCCACAGACACAGCTCAGTAAGCTCTCCAGCTCTCCAACAAAATCCTACCTGCGAGGGTGTGGCAGCCATGGAAATGCCTTGCTCAAATCTCTCTGCAAGAGAAGCTTCTGTGGAGAACACTGCTGACTACAGCCTCCAGCTGCTAAGCCTTGGATCCATCATGGCGGCCAAGCCAGGTCCCACCTCCCCAGGCTACCCAGAGAGGGTGCCAAAGCCAGGACTCTGGAGGATTCCTCTTCCTGGCAGCTTTGGCCCAGGGACTCCCAGTGGCCCAACTGGGACTCTCAGGGCTTCTGTGACATCTGAGGCTCCTCCTGACCATCCTTCTTCCCTCTCTGCCCTCACAGGGGTCAGACCCGCACTTCAGTCTGAGGGTCCTCCCTGCCTTCCTATGCTCCCTCCCCTTTGTCACCAAATGTCTCCTCCAATAAACCTCTGGCATGTCTACTCTAGTCCTAGCATCTGCTTTTCAGAGCACCTAAACTGACAAGGGAGAAGGAAGATGTTCCCTGGAAAGCACTCAGCATAAAAAAAACAAGAGATGGCCTGAGGATCTTGACTCGGGAATAGGCTTTGCTAGAGAGAGGCAGGGATCAGAGCGTAGTATGCCATCTTGTGTTTGAAGCCAGCGTTGGCCCAGCTCCCTGGACTCCTGTTTGGGTTCTGAAGTCAGAGGATGTGACAAAAACGTTCATCAAACTTTGCGACATGCTAGGGGGTGCCTCTCCACCAGAGTGTAACCCAAAGCGGGGGCATTCTCTCCAATATGGACACGAGTCCAGCTTGGAATCCCTAAGATCTCCCGGTTGATCTCCCAGTGTTCCTGGTGGGGGCTCCCTCCCAGGCCTGCAGCAGCCTTGGCAGGCAGAGCAGCTACCTGCAGGAGGGACCTGTGTGGAACAGCACTGGAGTGGCACCTGTGACATCAGAACCAACTGACTGCTTGCTTGTTTGGTGGTTGCTGTTTTATTTTCTCTAATGACACCCCTCCAGCTTCAAAATACCATGGTTTTATTCCACGTAGGTCTTGCCTCCCTGACCAGACTGTAAGCTCCCTATGTCAGGGATTATATTTTCTGTGTTTTCATCCATTTCTAGGGACATCATAGAAATCCAGGATATACTGGTTGGCCATTGGTAGTTACATAATTGTCCAAATTTTATTTTTTATTTTTATTTATTTTTTTGAGATGGAGTCTCACTCTGTCACCCAGGCTAGAGTGCAGTGGCATGATCTTGCTCATTGCAACCTCCACTGAGTTCAAGCGATTCTCCTGCCTCAGCCTCCCAAGTAGCTGGGTGAACGTCACCACATCCCACTCATTTTTGTATTTTTAGTAGAGACGGTGTTTCACCATGTTGGTCAGGCTGGTCTTGAGCTCCTGACCTTAAGTGATTTGCCCACCTCAGCCTCACAGAGTGCTGGGATTACAGGTATGAGTCACTGTGCCCAGCCTCAAAATTTATTTTAGACCTTCAACTCTTTGTATAGTTTCATGTGCAAGGGCACTATATCAATACTGTTTGAGGATGGTTATTTTCCAATTGCTATTCCTCTTGATATGAAAGCTATGATGAGCAAGAAATTCAGAGATATAAAAAGAAATTGTTTTTTCAAAAGATGAATTTATCAACTCACGATAACATACCAGGCATAGTGATGGGCTTTGCAGGGGGAATGATGACACAAAGATGAGCAGGACACAACCCCTGTCGTGCACTCATGTGGCCTGATGGGAGGGACAGGCATGAATCAATAGGTCTTATACAATAGGATAAGAGCTACAGAGTCTGGGGACCCGGGGGTTCTGACGGCACAGGAAAGAGGGTGACTAACTTTATCTTGAAATCCTCAGGAACGCTCTGGAGAGGATTAGTAATTGAACTGGCTCTTGCAGGCTGAGTAGGTGTTTGCCAGTTGACAACAGAATGTAGGGGGAGGATGTCCAAGAAGAGGAGAGGAGGGCTTTACAAGTGCAGAAAGGCCAGGAAATCACAGTCTTCCCAGAATGTGTGGAAAGTGAGAGGCTTAGGGGCATGGCCAGCCATGGGCAGTGAAGCAGCTTAGCCCTAGGTTTTCAAGGCCTTTAAACACCACCCTTGGGAACCCAAACTTTGCCCTTGAGTTTGTTACTGTGGAGCCGTGTAACGTTCTGGAGGGTAGTCATATTTTATATTTCAGTTATGGAAACTTTACTGCTTTATTAAATAGAAAAACATCAATTGTTGGTTTTTTGCATACCTTACCAGTGTTCACTCAAAGACATGTTTCCTTATTTATTTATTGCTGTTGCATTTTTTTAAACTTTTATTTTAGATTCAAAGGTACATGTGCAGTTTTATTATATAGGTAAACTGTGTGTCAAAGGGGCTTGGTGTACACGTTATTTTGTCACCCAGGTAATAAGCATAGTACCTGATAGGTAGTTTTTCAATCCTCTCCCTCCTCCAACAACAGATATGGCCCCCTGTCTGTTGTTTCCTACTTTGTGTCCACTTGTACTCAACATTTAGCTTCCATTTTTAAGTGAGAACATGTGGTATTTGGCTTTCTGCTCTTGTGTTAGTTTGCTTAGGATAATGGCCTCCAGCTCCATCCATGTTGCTGCAAAGGACATGATGTCATTCTTTTTTATGGCTGCATAGTATTCCATTGTGTGTGTGTGTGTGTGTGTGTGTGTGTGTGTGTGTGTGTGTATCACATTTTTTAAATCCAGTCTACCATTGATGGGCATTTATGTTCATTCCATGTCTTTGCTTTTGTGAATAGTGCTTCGATGAACATACTTGTGCATGTGTCTTTATGGTAGAAAGATTTATATTCCTTTGGGTATATATCCAGTAATGGGATGACTGGGTTGAATGGTAATTCTATTTTAAGTTATTTGAGGAATCGCCACACTGCTTTTCACAATGGTTGAATTAATTTACACTCCCACCAGCAGTGTATAAGCATCCCCTTTTCTCCACAACCTCGCTAGCATCTATTATTTTTTTACTTTTTAATAATACAATTTCTGACTGGTGTGAGATGGTATCTCATTGTGGTTGCAGTTTGCATTTCTCTAATGCTTAGTGATGTTGAGCATTTTTCATGTTTGTTGGCTGCAAATATGTCTTCTTTTGAAAAGTGTCTGTTCATATGCTTTGCCCACTTTTTAATGGGGTGTGTTTTCTGCTTATAAATTTGTTTAAATTCCTGATAGATTCTGGATATTAGACCTTTGTCAGATGCAAGTTTGCAAATATTTTCCCTCCATTAAAGACGTTAAGTTTATAGAGATGGCCAATCACCCTCTGACTTTCAACTTAGAGATGAGATCATTAGTTTGTTCCTCTTAAAAACATGTTAAATGGAAAAAGGGATATTTTTTTTTCCCAGAAAGAAAGAGGTCATTTTTCTTTTTTCAAGTTTATGGAGAGCACTGTATTTAAACTGTCTTCTGAGTTTCCTGGCCGCATATCTAGGGAATAAGAGCAGTTTCCCAAGGATAGAAACGAAACAGTACTTCCTTTGTTCTACTTCTACTTGATGGGGGACACCCAGGAACTTCAGATGCTTTCAGTGGAGCTGGCAAGTCCCCATGGGGAGCCTGTTACGTGCCCGGCAGCCCTGTCTTCATCCACTGTTGTGCTCAGTTCCTGTTGGGAATCACTCTGTGGTGTGTCAGGTACTGCCAACACCAAAGTGCTGGGCTCAGCTATGGAGGCACCTGTAAACATCAGCATGCTGGCCACCACCCCCACCTCAGGATGCCCCCAACTCTGGGAGCATTACAGGTCTGTAATCAGCACCATAGAGTGTTAGAAACGGGTCTGGCTAGGGACATAAAAGAGGATTGCCAGACTAGGGACAGTTGTGACCAGAAGCAATAAACCTCCAGTGCCAGCAATTAGTTCATGGTTTTCTTCCACCCCACTTGCTGCATGGGAGCAAATGTGAGAAAGGCAGATGGCAGGGTTGGAGGTCAACTGGGCGAGCACAGCTGGACCAGGGAGGGAGGGAAGTTGCAGTGTTGTGTTGAAAGGGCCAAAGAACCCAGATGCGGAAGGAAGGAAGGAAGGAATGATGGAAGGAAGGAAGAAAGGAAGGGAGGGAGGGAGGAAGGAAAGCCAGGAGTGTTGTGTCAGAATGAAAGCATCTGTGAGGAGTGAGCCTGGAGTTGAAGAACTGGTTTAGTGAGAAGGAGGGCGTGGGAGAGGTGGAGAGGCCCTTGGGGTGAGAGATTTTATTTGTCATGGTTTAGATGCCCCAGATCAGAGAGGTGAATTTCACATATGAAGTATTGAGGTTTTAAGATGAAAAGTCAGCACATCAATACATACTTTGTATCTCCTTAGAATGTAATGTGGCACATATACACCATGGAATACTATGCAGCCATAAAAAATGATGAGTTCATATCCTTTGTAGGGACATGGATGAAATTGGAAATCATCATTCTCAGTAAACTATCGCAAGGACAAAAAACCAAACACCGCATGTTCTCACTCATGGGTGGGAATTGAACCATGAGAACACATGGACACAGGAAGGGGAACATCACACTCTGGGGCCTGTTGTGGGGTGGGGGGAGGGGGGAGGGATAGCATTAGGAGATATACCTAATGCTAAATGACGAGTTAATGGGTGCAGCACACCAACATGGCACATGTATACATAGGTAACTAACCTGCACATTGTGCACATGTACCCTAAAACTTAAAGTATAATAATAATAAAAAAGAATATTTACTTTTTTGAGGTGTGCTCCAAAAACCACCCCCAGCATCTTAGGCTCTGGCTGACTGCTGCTCACCTGTGACCATCTCTAAGTCTGAATCCACATGGCTACACCGTCATGTTATCTGCAGTGCTGTTACTAAAAATGAGATCCTTTTCCTCATGTCCAAATCAGGGCTTCATCTGGATGGGGTCCCAGCTCTGGCACAGGCCAATGGCAGGAGAGTTCAGGGATGGGCACACCTGGCCGGCTGAGGGGAGCCTACAGCCAGGCTGGCCTCCCCAGCCTCTTCAAGTGCAGGGCCTGGCGAAGGCCTGCCCTCTTGGCACCTGTCCTGTTGGTCCTGGGACAGAGCCCACAGCTTGGGATAGTCCTGTGGGAGGGGGAGGTTGAGTCACTTTGCATCACATTCATGTCTCTGCAAATGCTGAGTCACCCTGGATGCAGAGCGAGAGGATGCTGTGGCTGCCTGCCGGGAACGTCTGAACTGGGCAGCCCTTTGCCATTGGCAGGAATGAGTGGGCGTGACGCATTCTCTCCAGTTCTGTGCCTTAGTCACCAAGGTCACTAGATTATGTGTGTCATGCGAGGGAGGCGCATAAAGGGCTGGGAAAGGTGGCAGGCTGCGGTGGGGGAGAGAGAAGGGCAGGAGCAGGCTTGTGTTTCAGATCTCAGCTTTCCTTAGCAAAGGGAGCTTCAGCTTTTCCACGCCCTCTCTGTGTATTCTTTAATTTTCCGGTCTCCCCTTAAGATGACTTTGCAGTTAATCAGGCTTGAATCTTCACGGTCTCTTGTTGCTACAGGATGAAGTTTCAGTTCTTAGCCTGGCATTTAAGGGTCTACAATTTGGTGGCCCAGCCATCATGTCCTGGGAACAGCTCTGGCCCTGGAGAGGAAGCCTCTCGAGGCTGTCACAGTTTGGTTCTTCTTTCCCAGGACAATCCTCCACTGCTCTCCTGGCCAGCTGCCTCCTCCAGCCAGCCGGCCCTCTCCCTCCCTGCTCTTCCCAAGTCCCAGGCTCAAAGTGCGGCTCACATCCCTCCTTTCCCTGAGCCTTCCCAGACAGCCAGCCCCACAGTGGCCTCCTTCCATTCTCAAAGCCTTTGGTGGCACTTCATGGCAGAGCCAGGGTAGAAAACAGGGACGATGAGACTTACAAATCTGAGCTCAAATTCCAGATCCTTCTCTGACTTGCAGTGTGATCTTGTGCAAGACACAAAACCTCCTGGCCCTTAGATTTCTTCTTCTGCTACAAATGATCAGAGGTTCATGAGGGAAATGGAACTTAGTGTCTGAGTGCTGGGCACAAGGTAAGGACTCAATCAGTGCTGGCCCCGCCTCTTTTGCTCTCACCGCCTCTTACTTTTTTATGACTTCTTTAGCATCCATTATATCCATGTATGTTTATATTTAAAGTTATTTTATTATGTGTGTGTATACTGATTCCCTAATTGAATTGATTGTGTGTTTTCATTCATTTTTTGAAAGAATTTTTGTGGAGAGTCTATTATGTTCCACAGCTTGTGCCAGACACTAGGGAGTCAAAGGGGGAAAGATGCTGTTCCCAACAGAAAGTCTGGTCTTATACTTCTTTGTAAAGTCACCATAAATATTCTTTAGTGACAGGTAGAGTGAAAATAAACAAAATATTTTCCACATAGTGATAAGTATAATAGATGCCAAATAAATATTTGTTGAGTTTTAGCTTTGGAGTTTTAGATGAAAAGTGTGAAATGCCTTCATGATATTTTATTTCAGAGCTTAACATATTTCAGTTGTGACCAAATTGAAAAGTCCGAACCTTCAAAACTGAAATGCTAGGAAATGATTGCTCATGATCTAGAAGGATTTGTCAAGGGCTTTCTTTAAAAGCCTTCAGCCTCGCGGGGCTCCGTGTGTGTACACACGCATGTGCGTGTGTTCTGAGGGCTACCAAGAGAAGCAAGGGTTGCAGGGAAGGCTCTAACAACGCCCTTGAAGGGAAAAGTCAATCAGAAACAAATTGACTACAGCTGTGAGATTCTAATGTATGTCAATGAAGAGATAAGATTCAATCTACAAATATTTGAATTACATGCAAAATGTAAGTCACAAATCTCGCACCTAAAGTCAGGGTTACCTTCCAATACTCCAGCCTTGTTGTACAAGTCGGGGCTTACACCATCGCAGGGCAGAACTGCTCCCATAATGAGTATAGGAAATATTCAGCCCACCATTTCTGAATAAATATCAGTGCATAGCACATTTCTAGTCTTTAAAATGTCTAACTGCTTTCTGCATGAGTTCCCATAGTCAAAACAACACCCTTCTTCCCTCCTTCCTCCTCAGGTCTCACATTTGTGACTGCTCCCTCAACAGAGTCCCAGGCTTTCTTTTCTGTGTAGATTCTTGCAGAGCTTTCTTGAAATGGAGCCGCCTCATCAATAGGCCACCCTGCACTGCCAGCTCTGTTAAGTAACCAAGTCTCTGTTGGGCGGAATTTGTGGGTCTGGATTTGTGACTATATTCCAGGTGTCTCCTAGTGGCTCTCAACAATCTTTGGTCCATATTTATGGCCCCTTGTTTCTTACCTGCATCTGCAGGACAGGCCGTCTTCTGAGGAGCTGTCCAAGCTTCCTGAACTTGCCTTGAGGGGCCCTGCAGTCAAGATAATACTCCCTGCAACCCTAGGTTCCATTGTTCCACCAGATGCTCTATGCCACTTGCAGCCATCATCACTAGCAATAACCACGGTGATGGAACTTTACATTTCTGCAGGAGTTTACAGCCTGCAAAGGGCTTTCACATACATCGCCTCAGTGTAGGTGACTGACCATGGTGCTGCCCTGCCCAACAGCCTTCAGTGGTGGCTGGAATTCCAGTCTCCTTCCCGGGGTGTTCATGGCCCCCATCTCCTCGCTGTGCAGGCCAGCTCTCACCTCTTTGCCGCCTCCCCATCCCACCTCCCACTGCAAGCTCCCGGAACTTCAAACTGCCTGTGGCTCTCAACACACACATCTCCCTCCTCTCACCCTCCGTATCTCGGCTTTGCCTGTCCTTCAGCCTATGTGGCTTCCCTATCTGCTCTGCTCTTTCTTCCACCCCCAACCCCCCTGCCATGCTCCTCCCCAGCTGTGCCAGGCCCCCTTCTCAGGGCTCGTAATGTCCTGTGCATATCTCTCTGATGGCCTCTGTGGGTGTGTGGCTTTCTTATTGGGATAGAATATACCAAACATAAAATTTGCCATTGTAACCATTTTTAAGTGTACAGTTCAGTGGCATTAAGCATGTTCACATTGTTGTGCGACCACCACCACCCATCTCCAGACATTTTTCATCTTCCCAAACTGAAGCTCTCTACCCATTTGTATCAGTTTGCTTGGGCTTCCATGGCAAAGTACCAGACTGCGTGGCTTAAACAACGGACATTTATTTTCTTACAGTCTGGAGGCTGGAAGTGCAAGATCCAGGCGTTGGCAGGGTTGGCGTCTGGTGAGACCTCTCCTCCTGGCTGTGGCTGGCCAGCTTCTCCCCGTGTCCTCACATGGCCTTTCTTCTGTGTGCTTATTGAGAGAGGGGGCTCTGGCATCTCTTCCTTTTCTTACAGAGACACCAGTCCCATTGGACTGGGGCTTGGCCTTCATTTAACTCTAATTACCTCCCTAAGGCCCAGTCTTCAAATACAGGCACACTGGGGATTAGGGTTTCAACATATGCATTTCGGGGGGCACAGTTCAGTCTCTAACATCATTGAGGAGTAACTCCCACTCTCTCCCCCAGGCCCTGGCAACCACCATTTCACTTTCTGTTTCTATGAATTTCACTCCTGTAGGTAGCTTGTATAGGTAGAATCACACAGTGTTTGTCCTTTTGTGACTGGCTTATTTCACTCAGCATCATGTCCTCAAGATTCATCTGTGTTGTAGCATGCGTCGGAATTTCCCTCCTGTTTAAGGCTGAGTGATATTCCGCTGTCTGCACACACCACATTTTGTTGATCCACACATTCACCAATGAAACCACTGTGTTAGAGAGGTGTTTGTGTCTGTCTCTACTCTGAGGTCGGACCCTTTGTCTAATACTTCTCTGTATCTCACGCACCAAACACCGTGCCTGGCATGTCATTCTCTTGATAAATGTTGAAGGAACAAATGAGTCAATTATTTAACATGCTGACCATCATGACAGCCCTGAGTTAGGCAAGCTTCCCATTCCTACTTCCATTTCTCAGATGAGGAACTCAGACTTGGAAACGTAAAGGGACTTTCCATTTTATCAATTGCCTTTCTCATCCTGCTGGTAATTATGTGAAGCAGAAATCTTCCTGCTGTCTTTGGCCCCCAGACATCATGCCCTATGTTAGACATCAATCATATAGCTTGATTTCTATAAAGGCAACTGGACTTCCTGGGAAAGAGCTAGTACAGCTCTTACAATGATGCAGAAGTAAAGCCAGGACGTTCTGGGACTGTAGTGAGGAAACCATCAGAGCCCAGAATCCATGATGGTGAAAGATCCTCACAGTGGTCCTCAACCAAGGGCGATTCAGCCCCCCAGGGGACATTTGGCAATGTCTGCAGACGTTTTTGGTTGTCATGACTTGGGGTTAGGTGGTCCTGGCATTGACTGGGTGGAGGTCGGGCATGCAGCTGAACACCATACACTGCACAGGACGGCACCCAGAACAAAGACTGGTGTTGCCCAAACGTCAATGATGCAGAGGTTGAGAAACCTGGTCCGAAAAGAGTCAGGAATTAAGTGGCCCCAGCAAGGGGAGTGGCAAACAGAGGAGAACGTGGGGCCTCCTTAGGGGAACCAGTGTGCAGACTTCTGCAAGACCAAGCTGCACTGACCGATGGAGATACTGAATGACTTGCTAACAGCTTTGGCCTAATGATTTTGTGCATCCTGGAGCCCTGGGGCTTTTTGGAGGCAAATGTTAATGTAATGCTTCAGTTCTGCCTCCAACTTCTATGATACTTACGTGTTGGATTCATAGCTGAAATATAAAAATGACATATATAGACTATGCCAAGCATAGATCTGTGTATGCAAAATAACACCAACTGAAAAAAAGCAGAATGTAAAATGCCATGTGTATGGCATTTTACATGCCACTAGTACATCTGTGTCCGATATAAAAGAATGTACATAGACAAAGATCAGAAGAGTTTGAAATAACACAGTTTATATTCAGTTGTAATCTTTGTTAGTTACATTTTAACTTTTAAGGTGTTTTATATAAACATCCACTTGAAGTTTCAAAAATCAGGAGTCTAGCCCTTCTTTCAGAGCCGTACGTACGGTTTGTTGAGATTTTCTACTCAGCCAAGCAAGGAACTGAGTGCTTTTTGGACATTGTTACATTACACCCTAAATTACCCAATGAGATAGGCACTGCTGTGCCTGTTTTACAGATGAAAAGCCTGAAGCTTTGTGATTAAGTAATTGACCAAGGTCACAAAGCCAGCAAGTGCTGGGGCCGAATGTTCACCAACTGCTCTGTGCCTGCTCCAGAGTGCATGGGACATGCTGTGTGACCAGATTTGGTGATCTCACACCATGGCCAATTTCATCAAAAAGCTACATGGATTTCCCAATCTGAATCACTAAATAACTAATTCCCGGCATTAGTCAGGGCTCTCCAGAGAAACAGAGCCGATAGGATATGTGTGTGCATTTGTGTGTGCACGCGTGTGTATGAGATTTGCTATGGGAATTTGCTCGTGCAATTATGGAGGTCAAGAAGTTCCACATCTACCATCTGCAAGCAGAAAGTCAGGGCTGTAATTCAGTTTGAGTCCAAAAGCCTGAGAACCAGGAGTGCTAATGTCTGAGGGCAGGAGACGATGAATGTCCCAGCTCAAGCAGAGAGAATGAATTCACCCTTCCTCTGTCTTTTTGTTCTATTCAGTCCCTCAGTGGATTGGAAGTAGCCTACCTACACTGGTGAAGATGATCTTCTTTACTCAGTCTACTGATTCAAATGTTAATCTCATCTGAAAACACTCTCACCAGAAGTAATATTTTACCAGCTACCTGCACATCCCTTATCCCAGTCAAGTTGACACATAAAACTAACCACCCCACTTCCTGTTTTGCAAATGGGCAATTATGAGAATGGTATCTCCAGGCTTTTTCTGTGGTCATAAGTTTTTAGATCTCAGCTTTTGCATAGTAAATATGATAATTTGTCTGTAATGCACTAACATTATGACCTAAATTGGGTCTCAATCATTTCAAAAAACCAGAATGAATTCTAAGTGGTATTTATATCAGCGTCCACAAAACAGAAGAAGTAGCTAAATATGTCACCCCAAAACATGATCTAGTTTTAACTACTAAGCATTCAAACGGTCTATTGCTGTGCCATGTAAAAATGGTTTATTTTTAAAATTTTCAGGCAATGATCACATTTTACTCCTTTCCTCTTTTTTTTAATTGGTGACCTAATATTTCAGGTTTTTGAAATGTAAATGACACAGTGCTGTCATTTTATAGGACTCTGATTGCAAAGTTAAGGCTCAAAGGTCATGTATTTTCTGTGATAGGTATATGGCCCTGCAATTTGCCTTCTTTTGAGCCTGGGGAACATTTGGTTTGCCCTGTGGTTATTGCCTCAGGTCAGGGTCCCTGGAAGCAGAGCCTCAGACAGGGATTTTGTGCACAGTGCTTATTGCAGGTGTGCTCTCTCCAGGAAGAACTATAAGCCAGTGAGGGATGCAGGATAGAGAAGGAAAGGAGCTGAGTAGGGATGTTACTCTTACCCCTAGTGGGGGGCTCTGGAGCACAAACCTCACCCCAGTCTTGTCTTCCATTTAGGAAAGGGTGCTACCCTTCCATACCCCCTGCCCATCAGTCAGGCAGCCATGGGTGTGGGCTGATGGCGCCTGTGGGTGGGGACATAGCCTCCCCACTGAGGGGTCACCTATGAGCCAAGGACAATTAGTAACTAAACTCACAGCGCCCACGGGACAGAGTGAAGGGAGAATGCGAAGGGGGCATGAGTGCACAAAGGCAGTGAAGGGGATGAACATAGGGTCAACAAAAAACACATACTAAAGTTCTCATCTTTCTTTCTACAGTCAAGTTTTTCTAAAGAACACTGTATTATAAAAGATTCACGTATAGAGCAAAAAATTAATACCTACAGCAAGTGTAACTAGATACAGTGAGAGGTTAGTAAGAAAGGTAATATGTTTTGTTTTTATCTTATTCCTATTCATAAATATGTATGAGAACATAATTAGGTAGCTTATCTCAATATATAATCCAAATTCATGGTTTCGAGTATCTGGAGGCCTCACTACCATTTTGATAACTGCCAATTTGAACTGCCCTAATAGGTAAACCAGATTGGCCTCATCTGGCCCCTTCCCCCATGGTGTTTGGGATCTTTGTCACTCAACAAGGCTGCAGCTTTTCCTATAAATGCAGTGAAAGAAGGACCTTAGTCTCATCAGGCTTCTCCACCCAGGGTGAAATCCATCTCAGCTGTCTTCATCCATCAGAGGAAGGTTCCTCCACGCCCAATACATCCTCGTCTGTATCTTTTTAGTTGTAACTTAGTGGAGAAAATCATTCCCCTTGGCCTCTTGCCTCTGACCAAACTAGTAAGGCCCTTGGAGGAACCAAAGTTTGCCTTTGACAGTGTCCATAGCAACAAGCAGCCTAACAGCCTCTTCTCTGACACCAAGGGCTTTCGGTTAACTGCTGTTCCAAAAACCTTGCTCTGTATCAGAACATGACTTTTTAAAACACATTTAATTAGAGTTTGACAAGGATTTTATTCAGAGCTATAAAGCAGTTTCACCACAGTGATTTGTAAATATCTCGATGTGGTTTATGATTATTGTCCTTAATTTACCCCATAATCATCATCATCAGCCTAATGATATGATGAACAATGCAGAGGTCTGTGTGAAGATTTACGTGTTTAAGATGTAAAAACATTTAGAGAAAGTAATGCTGCATGAAGAATCTTCATGGATACAGATTTGAAAGGTGAATTGGCGTGTCAAGACCTGAATGATAAATTTGTAGCGGGTTGGTCTGTTTCCCACTTGTGCTGTGATGTGAGTCTTATACAGCATGAAAATGCGGCTGCAATATTTTTTATCTACTCTTGAAATGCAGAGCACTTCTTGTCAGGTAATGAGTCTCCATCATCTGTTCTGCCGCTGTAGGACCATTTGCAAATTCCACCTGGACATCATCCCCTTCTCTCAGATTGTAGCTTAAAATGTACCAATCAAAGATGGCTTATGACTCAGCTATTGGCAACCACTGAGATAAGCCAGGTTTCCCAGCAGAGAGAAACTTCTGCACTCTCAGGCACTCATTTTGTGGAGCAGCTCATTCACTCGGATGCCCTGTAGTTACTGCTGCCAAATTTGCCCATAGGAGAGGCCATGAAATGAAGAGAGGCCAAGGGGTTGATTTCATGTTTAGTAAGTGAGAGTGTTAGCTAATTTGCATCCACTGTGTAAGGGATGGGCCTCCAAATCCTGGAATCCTTTTCGAGTACTTGTGGGTTCATCAGTCAAATTCACAGTGACGGATGGTGAACATAGCTCAGGGAAAACAGGAGGCGTTTTATAAAGATGAGAGCCTGCCAGCCAGCCAAGGAGGCTGGATTCCTATCGGGACTCTATCAGTTTCTCTTCAGAGCCAACATTCACACTTGCTGAATGCCTGCACCTAACCAAACAGGAGGTTAATTCTCCTGTTGGGGTTCGTGAAAGCACAATAGCATGTCCTGTCTAGCAGCCGCCAAGGCAAGGAGAGCCTTTCTCTGGTGGGGAATTGTCTGCAGGGACAATGGGTAGCAGCAAGGAGAGATCTTTCCCTCCAAAGCTTGAAAAATGAGCACACAGATGAAATCCAGCATCCTAGGCTGGAAAATCTCCATAGCAACACATTCTGGCTCTAACCCTCTTGGTCCCAAACTTCCAAATCAGACCTTTTCACAGAACCGTGAGGTAGGGGAATGTACATATTACAAAGAGACAGTCTTTCCCTTTTTCTTTCTCCTCAAATCCCACTACGTGCCCACCCCATCCAAACACACAAGCGTGCACCCCGACAACCACACTCACACGTCTACCCACGGAATTTTAGGGAGGAAAAACACCTTCCGTGCCTCTATTTCCCAGGGTAGATAGCTTTATCCCAAGAGTCTTCATCTGATGAGGAAAGACAGTCAACAGTAGTCATAATTTTAAACACAGTAGCCATTTTACAGTAAAACAGCAAAGTAATTTCCCAAAATAATGGCCCTGGGTATCTTGGAAGAGGAGACTCTATCTCTGTGTTTCCCCCATCCCTAGTTTCATGAGCAATTAACCCTGTATTTCCATGCTCAGGCAAGTCAAATAACCCTTGCAGAGCTGGTTGAAGGTGCTGGGAGGAGAGGTGGTCTTGAACTGCATGGTAAGAATGGTCCTGAAGTGCCCAGGGGGGTGAGAGAGTCCAGTCCACCAAAGTAACTAATCTGGGCCAAAGCAGGCAGAACAGTGCAGCTAGCCTTTCCAGAAGTCAACAGCAGATAAAGGGAGAGACGTCTAGACCACTGGGTCTCAGGCTCAGCATGCATCAGAATCATCTGGAAGGTAAGTTAAAACACCAGCTGCTGGGTGCTAGCCCCAGAGTTTGTGAATCTGTGGGTTTGTGATGAGGCTGGAGGGTCTATGTTTCTAGAAAGCTCTCAGGTGAAGCTCATGTGCTGGCCCACAGACCCCTCTCATTAGTCTCTATGCCTCGCAGTGACCCTCTTGGTCCTCAGGGGCTGCTGAAGTGAGAGGGGTGGGAGAATGATGAATGAGCATGCTAATGCAAATCACTGTTCACTACTCATGTAATCCTTCAGGCAGTCCTGTAAAATAGGTCTGATTTTTTCCATCTTTCTGATGAGCAAAGTGGCTTAGAGAGGTTATTTCTCAAGTTCACACACTTAAGTGTCTGTCAGAGTGGATTTAATTGAGCTAGGGGTCCCACGATCAGGTTTTCTATAGCTTCCAGGTGATGGTAATATGCAGTGTGGGCTGGGAGCCACTGATCTGAGACTTCCACACTCTGAACCAGCTGCCAGAACAAGACACTGTTGACCCCATAATGTGAGGACACTTCCCCAGGATTTGCAGTGGAATGTGAGGGTTTCCAAAGTCATCTTTTTGAAGAGATTTTTTTTTTCCACATTCTGGTATTAAAAGAGTTGTGAGGATAGGAAGACTAGCAGGCAAAGACATTGAGAAAAAGTTGTTTTAAAAACAGAATTTGAATGTCATTCCAGGCTACTGACTTCTTTTGGCCCTCTGGAAGCATTAGACCTAGTTTCTAGAACAATCACACTTAGGGGCATGAGTGGCCATCCTACCCTACACCCAGGTATAAACTGACCAGTGGCTATGACTCCTCTCTTTCCCCACTGTACCAGCCATGGTTCCTGCAGGGAATAAATGGCCCACTCTAAGTAAGACAATGGAGGATTGTCCAATAAAGGTGCTACCTGCAAAGCTGGGGGTGAGTTGGTAAACCACAAGAAATACTGCAGTGCCCAGAAGGAGAGAAAGCAATAGAGGTGACTATTTTGAGAGGAACAATGGCCTTTGGTTAAGGTTGGCATGAAGCTACCCCACAAGGAAGAAGCCAGCAGAATGAATATCCCACCACCATGGTATGCTGGACAGTGTTTAATCATTGGCCCTCTGGAGAAAAAAATATTTGTAGCATTTACCCATTTTCTGTGTATTAAATACCATCCCCATGGCTTATTTCAAGCTACCTATGTGAGGTCACCAGATGCAGAATTGACAATAGATGTGCACAGTCAACTCTCGTGAGCCACTATGAGCAGGCTCTAGCCCAGCACTGCCCCAACTTCATTCATCCCCCTTCACTCCAATCTCCTGCCAGACATCCCCACTGACCACACCCAGCTGGAAGCCAGCGGCAAAGGGAGTCCACTGACAGAGTCCATGGACAGCCTCTCAGTCTGCCAGGACGGGAGACCATTAACAAGAAGAGGAGGAGGAGAAGAGCTTTGAAAAAGTGCCCTGGGAGAAGTCATTCAGCCTTTTCCTCCAGGCTCCCTGGCTCTCATGGACCCCCATGTGCCCACCTCAGCCTTTTCTGGGTTGTGGCATGAAATGCCCGTGTGCTGCCTACATGACCCAAGTGATACTGCCAGGGAGATAAATTTGGCCTAGGCTGAAATTTGAAAAGCAAGAGGACATCCGCCTGAAGACTTGCACCCCCTGGGCTTTTTTCTTTATTTCATCACATGAAGAGGGGAATAAGTAGAGACGATCTGGTTGTGGAGAGTCCAGAGGCAGGAAATCCACATTTATTGAACCTCATGTGAGTTAGAAACCTTAACATAGGCCTGGCTCATTTGCTAAGTATTCACTGGGTTCCTGCTGTGTGCAGGACACTGTGCAAGAGCTGAAACCTGTAAGAGGAAGCAGTGAGTTTGCCAGGACTCCTCCTCTACACTCTTTCCCACTGGTCCTTTGCCAGTCAGTTCTGCCAGGAAATAGAAACTGCTCTAGGTCTTTCTAACGGAAGGAATCTGATTGAAGGGATTGGTGACAGAGGGATGGGTGAGCTGGGAAGCACAGAGGGACGGGTTAGCAGCAGAGGAAGTTGCTACCACCCCTAGACTGGGAAAACAATAGGGGGAGGTGGAATTGCCCGGGTCTGGAAGTTCGCTGGAGGCTGCTGCACAAAAATGATGTGGCTGCTGCAGAAATGCCATGAGAACCAGAAGGAAAAAGGGAATATTCTGGGTGTCCCTTCTCCCACCCTCTAATCGCTTGCTTGTTGTTCTAATTGGCTTCACTTATGCAGATGCTGGGAAATGCAGTTCTGTCTGTAACAGAGCAGGCAGAGGGGAGATGGATGGAGCCCAAGCAGGCTCTCGACCTTGTGGTGCATTTGTGCACTGGAGGTCTCAAGCTAGCAGATCATTTTCTTTGGTTTGGGAGTCCAGGGAAGCAAATTAGTCATAGAGGGATTGAGTAGTCAGAGCTAGCCCCACCAGCTTAAATTCTAGGTACTTGAGTCATCAGTCTTTTACAGCGGTGTGTTTGTTAGTCAGGATTCTCCAGAGAAAACCAATAGGTGATAGATAAATGATAGGTGATAGAAGAGGGAATTTATTTATTTATTTATTTATTTATTTATATTTTGAGATGGAGTCTTGCTTTATCACCCATGCTGGAGTGCAGTGGCGTGACCTCGGCTCGCTGCAACCTCCACCTCACAGGTTCAAGCGATTCTCCTGCCTCAGCCTCCCGAGTAGCTGAAACTACAAGTGTGTGCCACCACACCCGGCTTTTTTGTGTGTGTTTTTAGTAGAGGTGGGGTTTCACCATGTTGGCCAGGCTGCTCTCGAACTCCTGACCTCAGGTGGTCTGTCCCCCTTGGCCTCCCAAAGTGCTGGCATTACAGGCGTGAGCCACCGTGCCTGGCCAGAAGAGGGAATTTATTATGGGAATTGGCTCACATGATTATGGAGGCCCAGAAGTCCCACGATCTGCCAACTGCAAGCCAGAGAATCAAGGAAACTAATTCAGTCTGAGTCCCAAGACCTGAGAACAAGGAGAGCTGATGATGTAACTCCTAGTCTGAGGCTGAAGGCCTAAGAACCAGGAGCACCAGTGTCTGAAGGCAGGAAAAGGTGGGTGTCCCAGCTCAAGCAGAGGGAGTGAAATTATCCTTCTCTTACCTTTTTGTTTTATCTTGGTCCTCAATGGATTGGGTGATGCCTGCCCACAGAGGGAAGGGTTACCTCCTTTACTCAATCCACTGACCCCAAGGCCAATCTCTTCTGAAAACACCCTCACAGGCACACCCAGGAATAATGCTTTCCCAGCAATCTGAGTATCCCTTAGCCCAGCCAAGTTGACACCTACAGTTAACCATCAGCCTGTGTCACTCCTCCACCCTCTTCCTTATAGATCCCGCCTCATCCCCTTCCCTTCCTGCATGTCCCGTCCACCTCCTCTCCCCAGGCAGGATGGAGACACCAAGAGACCTCCAGATCCCCATCGGGTAAACCCACCGAGTTGGACTCTGATAGTTGACTGTCACATAAGCAGACTGCCTGATGTACCATGCCCTGTTCTCTAAGCTCTCTGACATATTTAGTGGGTGTTGATGTCTCTGCTTTGATGGAGAGGAAACTGACCCCACTGTGAGTTGTTGGCTTGTCCAAGGTCACCCAGCACATTAGCAGGAGTTCCAGAATTGGAGCCCAAAGCTCCTGAGTCATGGCCAAGTGACGAGCTCCATTGCACTACGTGGCTCTTTGTGGCTATAAAAAGATCCATCTCTGGAGAGCACCTCCTCCAAGGCTTGCTGAGATAAGCTAGATGCTGGCCCTGTGTGTGTGCCTTAACCGGGCAGTGAGCCACCAGTCCCCTGATAGGAAGAGTGACTCTCGTGGGGAGAGGAAGAAAGAGAATGCTTCAAGAAGTCGGAGGAGGCAGCCTTTTACCTTAAATGGCCCATGCTCAGATCAAGACACGGCACAATTATTGTGTCTATATTGTAGCCTGATCTGCCACAAGTTGAGAAAAATCTCTTTTTCCATAGCATAACTATTTATGGCATTTGCCAATTTTCTCCGTGTAAACACTTTTCCTGTGGCCTATTTCAAGGTACAAACAGGAGGTCACTGGACACAGAATCTGGGGGAGATGTGCGCAATAACAGCTCAGGAGCTGGTCTGAGCAGTCTCCAGCCCACCACGTCCCTAACCTTACTCACCCCACCCCTGCCAATGTCCTCATCTTTAGGCAAGGATTATCATACTAATCAAGAGTTCTCCATCTAGAGTTTATCGTGTGTGATACCTAGCTCAGCGAAGTAAGATTCTGATGCCCTCGTGTATGAAATGGGCTTGGATATTATCTTTGTTATGTAATGTCACGCCTAGAAATAAACAGGACCTGTCCTTACAGGCACTAAGTGTACCATCACAACATCTGCTGCCCAGTTTTGAGATTAAGGGCATGACCCTGCCTGGGTTCAAATCTTCTCTTTGACACTTAACTAGCTGTGTAATCTCAGGCATTTACCTACCTTCTCTGTGACTTAATTTTCCCATCTAACTAATGGGAATACTGGTAATATGAATCTCATAGGTAGTTATGAAGATTAAATTATTTAGAAGATGTCAAGCACTTAAAATAGTGCCTACTAGCAATTGAGGGCATAAGTGACCCCTAATAAATGTTAAATCACATTATTACTACATGCTGGCAGGTCAAAGGTGCATCTGTTAACAGATGGGGAAGGTGTGGCAGTGGTAAGCTTGCACTTGGGCCATGCACAGGTGTAGAGAGAATCAGCAAAGAACATGTAGAAAGGTACTCTCATCTCAGAAAAAGGGTGTTGACAGCACTTAGTTCAAGCTTGCCCTTTTCCCAAAGGGCAAATCCCTTCCACCGCATCTGTGCCTGCTTGAACAAGTGCAGTATGGGGATCTCATTACTTCTCAAGGCTGTTTGGTCCACTTTCAGACCTCTCTGATGTGTGCATCTCCTCACCGTCCCCCAATTCCAAATCAGAATTAGCCTTCCAGCAGTGTAGAGCTCATTGGTCCTAGTTAGTCTTTCTGGAACCTCACAGAAAAGTTTGATTCCTCCTCCGCCTGAGGAGACATCACAGAACTATCATAGCTCTGAAAGCTGACCCCTTGGGAAACTTGGTGCTCTGAGGATCTCAACACTCAAAGCCACAACACAGGCCCTCAGGCCCCATGGGACAGGGCCAACCAGGTTCTGTCCTGTGTGGTTGACTCAGCTTCTATGCTGCCCCTTGGCTTCGGGAGGGGAGGCACCTTCCCTAGCAATCCCACTGGGACTGCACACAGTGAGGGTAAAGTAGGAACCCACAAAATAAAAAATAAGCCAACTCTAACCCAAAAGTAAGGTGGTAGGAGGATGATGTTTTCTATGATAACTCCTCAAGTATTTGAAGACAGACCCCGATCCATGTAAGGTATTTCTTTCTAATGAGCAAACAAATGAAGAAACTCGTGTATTCACAACACTGCTTGCATTTAACATGCAATGTTAGATTTTGTAAAGCAAAATCTTCTCCTGCAGATGAACTGTAAGTGGTTGTGTATCTAGAAATTCACGCCCAATTGTTTTTCCTTCTGAAGGCACGCAGGGAAGGGGAGCAACATGGGGCTGTAGGGTGAGAGTCCCGCGTGGAGATTAAACGACAAGAAGTTCCTCCAGAAAGCCTGAGAAGGCAAGGCCAAGGGACACTGTTGATGGAAAGGTGGCCCCTGCATCTGGATGGGCCCTGCTCATGCTGCTGGGAAACCAGGAGCAGCTGTCAGTCACCCCTCCAGAGGCACTCCAGCCAGCATGAGAAATGCAACACTTACCCAGCATTTCTTCCTCGCCCTCCAGGGAAATGGACCTTGACAAGGGCTCTGATCAGCCCCGTCACTACACTTTCAGAGGTTTTCCTTCAATGAACTCCTTTTATTAAGTAAAAAAGCAAGTCCAAAATGTGGCACTAACAAGAGGAATAATTCAGAGAACTGAAGCAATGTTCACTCAAATACCTCACGCAAAAACAAAAAAAGAGTACCTTCCACATGACAAGTCTCAGGGAACTGAAGCAAGAAGAATTTTATTTTTGCCTGCAGTATCCATTCAGTCCAATTCTGTGAATACTTACTGCACACCCAGTAAACCCCCAGTGCCACATTTGGGGCCCTGGGATCACCAAAGTGGGAGGCAGTTCCCCTCCACGCAGTCAGTAGCCCCATGGATGGATTTGGGTGCACTCCTCAACCCCTGCTCTCTCTAAGATAGAAACCCAGTTCCCTGCCCTGAATTTTCCATCGGCCACCTGCTCATCCCACCTCGGCTGTATGTTAACCTGTCACTTAGATGAAGTGTCATCAAATAATGTCTGCCACCTACTTAATTTAGCATCCTCCCAACTTCCCTGCAGATTTTCTTTGGGCTTTGTTCGGGGAATGCACTGCAGATGGCTCATGGTGAGGGATTCTGTTTCACAGCAGCTGTTGTGCTCTGGGATGCTGAACCGAGCCCCATTCTATGAGCTCTGACCAGGCTCCTGTACTCGTTAGACCACCTGAGGAGCTGCCCTAGCAAGAGCCTGCCAGTGTCACTGTGTGTTTGTCCTCGGGCTGCCTGGCTGCCGTGAACATGGCCAGCCGGGCCCTGTGGCCTCAGGTGCTCACACAATTACAGGGACAAGCAGAGGGCTCCACTGATGCCTCCGAAGCCTTCTAACTCACCAGGTTCTTCCCTGCATTCTGCCGGGTTCCGTCCTTGCTCTTCTCGTCTCATTCTTCATCCTCATTCTTGGCGACCTCATTCACCTCCTTATCTTTAAGTACTACACAGCCTGGCCATTCCTAAGTCTATATCTGCAACCCCCTCTCCTGGCTCTACCTGTGGGTGTCCTCTCTGACCACTTGCATCAAGCAGTTTCACAAACCTTATCATCATTATAGCAGTGCCAGCCATATCCCGAAAGACACAATCCCTAATATTAAAATCTTGAAAGATCAAAATCCCCACAGAGCAAAATCTCTAAAGTCTAAATAAAATTCCAAAAATCACAATCCCGAAGGATTACAATTCTGAATGTTGAAATCCTGAAAGCCGAATTCTGGAGACGTGGTTAGTTGAGTTTTCTGTTTTGTGCAGGATAGTTGCAAAACTATTACCTTGTTGATGTCCTTATTTGGAAATTAGGTGTAGTTTCGGGAGATACGTATGGGTGCCAAGTTGACAAGGGTGGACTTGTGGACCTAATATTAGGTGTTGACTGGATTAAGGAATAAACCTGGTAAAGCCTTAATTGGGGATTATGGCTCAACCCCCCCCCCCAACAGACGCTCTTCTTTTCTGAAACATCTAAACCTTTCTCACCTGAGGCAGGATGCCAGCATCCCCCCTTTCCCCTCTGAGGCTCCCCAACAACCACAGGGTCCTCATGTCCTGCTGGGTCTCCTTAGAATCCCTGCTCTTCTTTGTCCCAGCCACCCACTGCCATAGGTCCTTCCCTTTTCCATTGAGAAGGCTGTAATATAACTTTCTGTAAGGATCTCTCTGTGTTGAGTCCCAGCACCCTTGCCCCAATCCATTCTCCAATGTACTGCCAGACCACAGACTTTTGGAACACAGATTTAATAGTGATATCCCCTGCTCAGAGCCCCACGATGGCCCATCTCCTGCAGCAGTGATGATATTCATAACCAGCAATCAGTCCACTCTTGCTGGGTGGCCAGCCCCTACAAAACAATTTGCCTGTTGTGCTTGTATCCAACTCTCACAATAACCTAAGAAGAAAGTACTGTCTTTATCCTCCCCCCTACCTTTTTTTCTTTTTTTTTTTTTGAAATGGAGTCTTGCTCTGTCGCCCAGGCTGGAGGGCAGTGGCACAATCTCAGCTCATTGCAACCTCCACCTTTCGGGTGCAAGCGATTCTCCTGCCTCAGCCTCCCAAATAGCTGGGATTACAGGCATGTGCCACCACACCCAACTAATTTTTTTGCATTTTTAGTACAGATGGGGTTTCACCATGTTGGCCAGGCTGGTCTCGAACTCCTGACCTCAGGTGATCCATCCGCCTTGGCCTCCCAAAATGCTGGGATTACAGGCATGAGCCACCGCACCCAGCCATTATCCCCATTTTTGAGATGAACAAACTGAGGCACAGAGAGGTCACTAGGCTAGGAAGTGATGCAGGCAGAGCTCACTCTCCTGTCCATATTCTTCATCCCTGGGCTACATGGCCCCTCAAGCTGTTATTCCTATAGCAGAAGGGCACTTTTGATTTTCACACCAAACCTCATGTGGAATCCTGGAACGGTATACAAAACCGATGGAAGTGAGGGGGAAGGGGACACAGGACCCAAAGCCATGCCCATTCATGTCTCCTTTCCTTTTGTGGGCTCTGAGGCCCCTTCTTGGGACTCCAGGGCTCCACAGGGCTGAAGTCTGGCCTCACTGACCCCACAATTCAGAAGTCGATCCCAGGCCTGAGTTCCAGGGGCTGTGGTCCACAAAGGGTCAAGGAGCTATGGAGGGGGGAAAGGCACCCGGAGCCAGGGTGTAAGAGCCAAAAGTGGTGCCAGGGAGCCACTGAGGTCATGCTTGTGTGGGTGAGGAAGGAGGATTCCAGTAAGGAAGGTGGAAGTCAGAGTAACTCAGGTGTGAGAGAGGTGGGGTCCTGGATGGGCCAGGAGCTCACGGTGCTGTGAGGGTGTGCTTGCTGCAGCCCAGGCAGGCAGATCCTCAGGCTGAGCTGCCTCCTACTCATGAATCCTCCCACATTCCACTCCCCAGAGCCTGCACACGCCATGCCTCCAGTCTGGAGGCCCTTCCTGTTCCACCTGGCCCTGGCTGATGCCCACTCATGTCTCAAGACACTGCTTCTGTGCCACCTCTTTAGCCAGGCCTGTCTCTGACTTTGCAAAGCTGAGTCCATCTTATAATCCTCTGTGCATCCCACAGCACCACAAGTGCAACCCTTATGGTGGCATCTGGCCACCATCTTTTGTTTATGGACTGACTTCCATCCCGAGCCCCCTGCCCGTCTCGTCAGATTCATGGTGGATAGGGGACGGGCGTCACTCTCTCTGAAAGCTCTTGAGGCAGAGAACCTCTGAACATGAGTGTGGTCAATTCAGTGGCTGGGAATGTGTTGCCTCCAGCTCTACCTGCTGGGCAAAGCCTGACCCAGACGGATGTTTGATGATGGAACAAGGAATCAGGGGAGCGTCAGGGAGCCCTTTGGAGGTTGCCTGGATGATATCCACATCATTCACCTTCACTCTGGGGCTGCCCTTGGATCAGCTCAGTTTTCTTCCTTCCTCTACCCAGTCAAGCTGACTGCCAGTCTGGCTCCCTGAGGTCAGCAGAACCCCCTGACTTTTTCAGAGTCCAGCCTGCCTTAGACATGATCTTATTCACCTCCCACCAGCCATGGGTGCAGAGTATCCTCAATGGTGCCTTGAGATTCCATCTGCTCAGGCACTGCTCCTGGTCACTGCCTCCCAAGGAGCTCTTCTCACTGTGATCACTGATGACTGCCTTGGGAAGCAACGCACTGGCGGGCGAAAAGTGGGGTCTTTGGAACCAACCCAGGTGTGAATCTTATGGAGCTTTCTCTCTCTGTATCCCAAATTCCTCATCTGTAAAAATCCAGGTGCTAAGGTTCACTTTCAGAAAGCAGGTTCTGAGGTTTCATGTACTTCACACATTGCACTTAGAACAGTGTCTGGCACACACAATGAAGGCTTCTTTAAAGATTAATTGAAGAGTGAATGACTGTCTGAGAGAAGGCAGTGCATGTGAGGTGCCTGGCACCTCCACACAGCAGATTTCATGTAAGTGTAGGGATAATGGGCTTGGAATTGTAACCAACATTGTTCCCCAGAGTCTCCACCCCTTTGACCTTCCTGGCATCCATCAGCCACACGTCCTGGGCTTGTTGCCCCCGGGGAGGAATGAGATGGAGCATAAAGTGAAAAATAGCATGTGGGTCTTTTTTTGGCTTTAGTTTCCAAAAGCCCTTGTGGAAAATACCTTGCCCTGGGCAAGGACAAAAAAAGATAAGAAATGGGGGCTGGGCACTGTGGTTCACGCCTGTAATCCCAGCACTTTGGGAGGCCAAGGTGGGTGGCCCTTGGTGAGGTCAGGAGTTCAAGACCAGCCTGACCAATATGGTGAAACCCCATTTCTATTAAAAATATAAAATTAGCCGGGTGTGGTGGCATATGCCTGTGATCCCAGCTACTTGGGAGGCTGAGGCAGGAGAATCGCTTCAACCTGGGAGGTAGAGGTTGCAGTGAGCTGAAATCGTGCCATTGCACTCTAGCCTAGGCAACAAGAGCGAAATGCCCAATCAAAAAAAAAAAAAGAAATGGAATCTGTGGGGAGTAGAGTTTCTCCCAGAGCCAGGGAAGATGGAGGGGACAGGGATGAGCGCAGAGCTAGGGGAGTCCACCTGGAGAGAGTGGGCTGGTTCTCCCTGGGGGAGGTGCTCCTTCCACACAGGGCCCTGAAGGGCCTGGGGGAGCTGAGCTCAGTGGGGGCTGACTGCTGGGAGTTTCCAGTGAGTACACGTCGCCATCAGCCAGGATCTAATCGGGGATCTGCAAAGGGCTCTGGCCGCACTGGGGGCGGAGTCTTTGCCTGACTTTCACCTAATCGCAGTGTCCACTGCCTGCCACCCCGAGGGGCCAGGCCAGCTGTCCTTCCTGCTAGTGTCTATCCCCAAGGATGTCCTGTGAGGGCAGCCAGACCTGCCTGCAAGCATCCAGAAACAGAGGGCTTTGCTGTGCCCCGGGACCAAGCTTCTCCTCTTCCTACTCACCCCATGGCGACAGCCCTTTCCAAGTCTCAGGAATCCCAGGAGCCCAAGAGGAGGAGGTACGGCAGTGTGGTGCCGTAATGGTTCCACCCCTCATAAAGGCACCAGTCAGTCCAGTGAAGAGCCCTCTTGAGGCAAGACCATCATGAAACACCAGCCTGTTGCTATCACATTTGTTTTTCTCTTCAGAAGACATTTTTTACCCCAAATCTGATCCAATATCAATGGCCACCCACTGGTCACCGTTCCAACTTAAATAGCCCCCCCAAAAGCCCCCAATTTGTGGGTGATCACCATGTGCCCCAAGACTCCTTGCCTTTGTGTTGACAGCCCCATTCCCATAACTGAAGTGGAATCCAGAGCTTCTGCCATCTTTGTCCACATCCCCAGTACCTGTTCCTGTTCGTTACTGTCCCTTAAAATGAAGCACCCAAACTGGCCATGAGGCCTCTGTCTCCTATGGGACTACCTCTCCAACGGGGTGCCTTTAGCCTTTTAAGAGGAACCACTGCTGGGTCCATTGTTTGTCCTCACTGCCCCCTAAGTACTGTGCCCCCAACAAGAGGACGTTACCATGTCACCATATAACTAAAACTGGACTTCAGACATTTTCTTTGATTGTCAGCAAAGCCAAAATAATGAGCTCCCTTGGCTGAGAGAGTGAGCAATTCTTTATCTGAGACAAGAAACCATTCCCATGAAAACTAGATGGAATTATTAATACAGGTTTTCATAAACATCTAGGAAACATTTCATTTTGTATATATATCTATAGATATCTATAGATATAGATTTTTTTTGGCATCTGAGATTCTTCGGGCACTTTCACAAAGGGTTGTTACAACTGCACAATGTCATCGTTTTAGTGAACACCTAGTACTTATTCCATATAGATCCCAACATTGAAAAGTCGTTTTCACTCACGTCTAATCAACCTACTGAAATGCCTTTCTGGTCACTGGTCAGGTGTGTTGGTGAGGAGAATACACTTGATTCTTCTATCCCCAAAGTAGCCATTTTAAGGAATATCTATCCAGATACCCAAAGTGGTAAGCTCCTGGCAGCTTAACCAAATGCTAAAAGGGGTTGCTGGGTGCAATGAGAAATGCTTGAGAGGAAAAGGTGGGGGAAGCACCAGGCTGAACACGAGGTGTGCTGTGCTGTGTGTCCCATGGCGGACAGCGGGCACCTGGGGCTGGGGTGCCATGCTCCAGCAGATCGGGGAGGGAAATTTGGGAAATGCTGTTTTCCTTCCCCACACTTCTCTGAAAGTCAGCGAGCAGAGTGCTCTGTTTTTATACTAAGTTATCCATTACACAGAAGCCTGAGTACCCAACAGGCTAGAATTTCAACAGAGGCTCATCTCTTTACTTTGGAGGCAGGAAGGCTTCCACTTCATCATCACTGAAGGTAAGGGAATGTCAGTAAAGACTCATTTGTTTGACAACTGAGGTAAGGGAACATCAGTAAAGACTCCTTCATTTGACGCCTGGTTCCTGCGGCTCTCCTGGTGTGGTGATGATTGGCCCAGGATTTCCAGAAAGCCTAGCCAAGGGGCAGGCTGAGAAATAAAGATAAATGAATGTGAACCATCTGAGAAAGCATATCCCATCCATATCCACTGCCTGTTTTCAACGTGCAGTGGAGGGGCTGGTATGGGGGTGCAGTGGCAGAAGTTCATTACAGCTGAGTGTAAATTAGAGAAGGCACCCCCACATTCTGATGGATACAGTCTTTTATGCTTCCAAAGCAGCCCTTGCATATATTATCCTACTTGATCCTAACAGTGATAATACCACTACACAGACAAGAAAACTGAGGCTTAAAGAGGGCATGTGATTTGTACACACTGAGACTATCAAACCCCAAATCCAGGTTTTCTGACTCCAAATCCAGAGTTTTTACCAAAGCGACACACAGTCTTCAGGGAACCAGGGAAACACCTAGCATTGATTGAATACCTACTGTGTGTCTCACACATCGTTTCTCCTATTTCATCCTCTCACAGTCCTGCCCAGTAAGCATGAACTTGACCATTTCTCTGAAGAAGAAGCAAGTTCGGCTTTAAACAATTTGACCAGCTACAAAGTGGTGGGGAGTTGGGGTTAAAACCCAGTTCTACTAGCTTGCAAAGACAATTTTCTCTCCTCTCTGCTGATCTAGTCATTGTGTATTAGACATGAGAAAACAAAGACCCAAGAGGTTAAGTGACTTTCCGGATCACACAGCCGGCTCAACAGAGAGCTGAGACCAAAATCTGACCCAGTACAACATGGGGATCTGGGCTGGGTTATTGTCTAATCGTCACTTCCCTGAAATCAAACAAGACTATAATGAGGTACCTGGTTAGTGCTTCCTAAGCAGCTCTAACATTTAGTAGAACAAAGTGTTGAAGGAGGTCTGGGACCTCAAAATGCCCGAAAGAATGGTATCAAAGCCGGCAGCCAGGGGCACAGCCAGGTCAGTTCTATATATAGATGTAATTGTTCACCAGCGATTTCAACTAGCTTGTCTGAGCAGCCTCGGCTCTCTTTGGTCTGCTGTCTCCATGGGTGCCAGGAACTGTGCTGTGAATATCTGGATGCTGCATCATTAAACCTATTGAGTATCTCACTGTCTGCTGAGCCCAACTGTGACTCTGTTCAAACAAATAAAGGTACCTAATGGCTGCAACCTGAATTGTGGGCACATGGCCCAAGTGGTAATCAGAGATGGCCTATGTCACTGAGGCAGAAGACCCACAAGAAGTGCAGAGAATAATAGAGATGCAGAGGCTATTCCCAGATTCCCACTGGAAGTCCCATTAGCAGTGACAAAAGGAGACACAGACGGAGGAGAGAGTTGCGGCAGATGGTCTCCATCCAGGAAGGAGCAGAAGAGATGCTGACGTCAAGAAAAAACGGGGGCTGTGACTCTACTGATGACTCTATTTCCTGTTCCAGGCTACTTGGCAGGGATTCTGGTAGGAAGAATATTTATTGTCAAACCTTAATAGGCTCTATTCTTTGCAATTATTTGAGCATCTGAAGAGAGGAGAGGGTCTTGCAACTGGAGGAGGATATTTTGCCTGGCCATTGGTTGGGGCTCAGTTGCTGTTGTGAGTGGAGTTCTGATAGCATCTCTCCGCCCTTGCAAATTTTTATAATGGCTAATTAGTATCTTGCGAGTAGAGTGGGGAAAACAGTGGATCTCTGAGCATTTTGAGGGTCAAGGATTGGAAGGCAGTTCTGCTGCACTGGGCCATATTGCAGTGAGGACAACAGAGCCCAAGAGAGGGAACTCATAATTAGGAAAGCACTTAAAATCAAGATGAACAGTTGTGCAGGTTGTGCACTGAACAACATTGTGGCATCATTTACTTCTTAATCTCTCTTTAGATTTTTATGGTGCACAACATGCAAATTATATGTCACAACCCTGGCAGTCTACACTAGCAAACCTTACACAGCCCCTAACTGTTGAGGTCAGAGAAGGGAACTGATTCTAGGTATAGCATATTGCAAATACTAGAATCCACCTTGACCTGCCCACTCAGGTGCCCTGGAGTATTTGAAGAAGATGACTTCAGGTTTGTTTGAACTTAAAGTGCTATAGCACCAAATGCTATTACAATTTAGGACATAAGCAATTTTTGTATGAAACATATCATTCTCACTCTTAGTTCTCCGGAGTCAGAAGGAACTAAGAAAGGTTTACCTGGAGGTCAGCAAGAGCAGATGGATGAACGGGAGCCAGGGAAAGAGGGAGTTGGGCTACCAAGCCTTGGTACAGCTGAGAGCAGCTCCAGTGTGGTCAGCAGATTTCCCTGGTGGGGGCTGTGGCTGCCACAGGTTCGAATGATGCAATGGGAGTGACATCTCCAAGGACTGTGAAGGAGCCAGGGCGGGGGTCATTCAAGTAACAGGGACCTGATGAAATTCCCCTTGGGCTGTCCATGAGTGCCAATTGAAACTAGCTTGAAAATCTGCAGAAGCAGATTGGGAGCCTCACACACACTTGGGAAGGGGAGAATTTGTGGCAGATAGTGGCTTGGCAGAGCTGAGCACTGGGGATCAATGGAACATGGCCTCTTTTACACTCAATGGCTATCCAAGGCTAAGGCCTGCTGGCTACACAGATATGTTCATTTCACTGCAGAGACAGGGAGGGTGTCAGTAAATGGCTTCATTTTGTATCCCTTGTATCTGCAGGCCACAGAGGAAAGGCTCTACACCCAGACACACAAGGAATAAAGCAGTGTGTGCCTCCCAGAGTGGGTGGAAAGCCAATGATCGGACAATCAAATGGGGTCATGGAGCCAGCAGGAATGAAGCAACTGGTGTCCAGTAGAGAAGAGGGAGAGAAACCTCGAGGTCTTAATTTCACAGAGGTTCTTGACACAGGGTGGGATTCATTGCTGTCTAAGAAGGGAACTTAGGATCTTGTGGAGTTTTGTTTTTTTTTTTTCTGAAGCTACTTCCTCAGTGTGTTGTTTGGCCAAAATCAGGAAGAAAATAAAACCTACCTGTTAGGGTATGTTGCACTCAGAAAACCTGGCTCAGCTGATGGGATATTTATCACACTAAGTATGCTGACATTTTCCAGGATTCTTGAGGAGGTCTAAATAGAAGGATCTAAATTCACCAAAATGATAGCATTCTGTAAGAGAAAAGACTAAACAAAAATATCCTCAAGGCAAGAGGATAGCTTGAGACCAGGCATTCAAGACCAGCCTGGGCAACCCTGTCTCTACAAAAAACAAAAAAATTAGCCAGGCATGGTGGTATGACCTATAGTCCCAGCTACTAGGGAGGCTGAGGAAGGAGGATCACTTGAGCCAGGAGTTCAAGACTGCAGAGAGCCATGATGAACTGCTGCACTCCAGCCTAGGCAACAGAGTAAGACCCTGTCCCAGGAAAAAAAAAAAAAAAATCCTCTTCTGTCCAAAATAATACAGGCTGAGAGGGAAAGTCATAAGGTTTGTAAGATTCAGCTGAAGGAAAAGACAGAAAGCATATTGTGTTAATGCAGCAAGAAGAAAACTTATGAAATTGTGATAACAGGTGGTGCCCTGAAGTTAAGAATTTCTAAAGTTCCATTTTCACAATTTAACCTACCTTTAAGGACAGTAGTGCAAGTAGTTAGTTCTCAAAAAGTTCCACAGTGCCACTGCTGTCAACAAGACATTGTTTAAATGAATTGTTAGTTGGGGGCATATGTCAGAGATGATAAATTCCTCTTCAAAGGTTTTAATTCCCTCTTCTTCCAGTTCTTTGTTTCTCTAGTTTCTATAGTTACCCGTGCTGTAAACAACCCTTCCTGCCCTGACTGTTCCCTGACATGTCCTGACAAGTCTAGACAGGCCTTGCACCATAATGGATAGCCTTCCCCTTCCTGCCTAGATAGCTGTATTCAATTTCAAACATTAGCCAATCAGGTCAGTTTAGACTGTGCAGTCCAACCCCAGCCAATGGAGAAAGAACACAGCAGTAGGAACCAATTGCATTAGGGATAAAAACCCCTGCCCTATCCCCCGGCTCGGTGTTCTCTTGTGATCGTGACTGGCACAAGCTGCGTCCTTCTGCAGAAGTAAATTTGCCTTGCTGAGAAAATTTCTGTTTGAGTGCTATTTCTTTTGCAGCACCAAAACTTATTTCTAACAAATTTGGGGGCCTGTGTGGGATTCCCATTCTCCTCTGGGGAAGGGTCCGGTCCTCTCCCATGAGGAGGCACATCCTGCTGCCTCATTGCGGTAGCCTCAGGGGTAAGGAATCGAGACTCACTCAGTGTGATGAATAAACCTGGACTCTCAGCAACACAGGAAGAAACAGACCAACAACTTTGAAAAAAGAAAAAAAAAAGGTAATCACATACTGTGGTGTCCAGGTAACTCTGTGCACAGATCAAGGTAAGAAACCTCACAGTGGCGACAAAGTATTTCCTTGATGATCGGAACATCTCGGAGGTTGGAAGTTGAAAGTGTGTGAATAAGCACTACTGGTGTGCGGAGTGAGCGAGTCCAATCTGTGGTTCTGTGGTCACCTCATATGACTTACAGCAGCCTTTTGGGGGTCCTGTCAGGGGTTTATACTGACCCACCAATGTTAAAAGGGACATGATGTTCCCTTCGGGGAAGCAGCCAGAGAGGAGGAAACGAAAGGAAAAGAGTGCAAGAAGCCTCCACTAGGGGGTATTGAGGCTCTGGAGAAAAGGAAAGCAAGAAATCCCAATATGGGTGGGGCGGGGGTGGGGGTTGAGCCTCTAGAAGAAAGGAAAGGCGAGAAATCTCCAGTAGAGGGGATTGAGCCTCACACAAACCTCCAGTCATAGGGAAGGCAAAAAATTTCCAGTAGGGGAAGTTGAGCCTCACCCTAAAACCATCAAGATGGGAAATACCCCAAGTAAGACAGAGAGTAAAAAGGATAAAGCTAACAGCAATGATATTCCCCTTAATAGTCCTCTAGGTCTCATGTTAAAGTATTGGAAAGATAATGAAAGGACTAAGCATAAGAAAAAGCAACAAATGTTAAAATATTGTTGTTTTATTTGGACCTAGGAACTAATCCTCAAACCCTCAGTTTTCTGGCCAAAATTTGGGTCAAATGAGGATTGCATTTGTCAGCTTCTAATAGAACATGTTAATAACAAGAGTCTAGTTTCCCAAGAAGAGATAGATTATGCTTTGTGTTGGCGACAAGGACCTGTTCTTCTCTACCCCCTAAAAGCTCTAAAAGATAAGCATAAGCCACAGAATGTTTCCCCTAAGGAAACTGAAACTCTGAACTCCAAGCTCTCTATGCCTTGGGACCTGCTAGGTCACCTTCCCCCACCAAACACCCCTATCTTTCCTCCCCTCAAGAGCTGCTGTCCCAGACCCTTCTCCTACCGCTATTGTTCCCCCTCCTTATAACCCTGCCTCTTGGAAATTGTCCCTAGAGCCCACTCACTACCAGCCTAAGTACCCTTCCCTAAAGGGACTTCAAAGTGAAACAGCAATGTAAAGAAGATATTCAAAATTGCCCCTCCCCTTTTACCTCAGGGGAATCAGCTCCAGCTCTCTTCCCCATTGAGGGAGGTGCCCCTAGGAGGAGGAGACATTGGCTTTGTAAATGTTCCTTTAACCATCTCAGAAGTATGAAACCTAAAAAGAGAGCTTAAGTTACTATTAGATGACCCTTATCGGGTAGCAAACCAAATTGACCAATTTCTAGGACCACAGTTATGTACCTGGGCTGAGCTAATGTTCATCCTAAGCATCCTCTTCTCAGGGGAAGAAAGAAGCACGATCCATAGGGCTGCTATGGTAGTCTGGGAATGTGAACACCCTCCCGGCCAAAATGTTCCTGCAGCAGATCGAAAATTCCCCACCCGAGACCCCTGGTGAGACAATAATAACGCATCCCACCAAGAAAATATGCAAGACCTTAGGGAAATGATAAAAAAAGGGATTAAAGAATCAGTCCCTCAAACCCAGAATCTTACCAGAGCATTTGTTATACAGCGAGGGGAAGATGAAGGGCCTATAGAATTTTTAGACCAATTAAAAGACAAATGAGAAAGTATGCTCATCTAGATCTCAAGGATCCTTTTGGGCAGGGAATGTTAAAATTTCATTTTGTACTAACAATTGGCCAGATATTTCAAAGAAATTATAAAAGATAGAAAATTAGAAAAACTGTCCCATGAGTGAATTTCTTAGGAAGGCTCAAAAAGTGTATGTAAGAAGGGCCAAAGAAAACCAGAAGCAGAAGGCAAGAATTCTGCTGTTCACCATACAACAAAGTACTCGGGGCCAGAACCTATAAAGAGCCTAGGCCCCAACTTTCCAGGCCATATAAAGAACACCAAAGAGCAAAACCTGGGAACTTAAAATTAGGAGAGGAAGAAAGGATCTCTTTAAAGGCTATAATGCTTTGAAAACTGTGTTGGCAGTGTGGCATGACTGTTTCAAGTAGATAAAAGCTTGTCATTTTACCCCATCCTGGCATGACTGTGAAGCCGGTGAGGAAAGAGGAAGAAGGGCAAGTTCAGATGCCAGCTGGGTAGCTGGGACAGGTTGGCTGAGGGACCACTCGGGAGGTCTCTTGTGCCTGGCATTGCCCACTTCAGCCCAGTCACGTGTTTACAGCAACCAGAGTCCCTGCAAAGGTGTGGCTGGCTGTGGTCAGGGCCTACTAGCACCATCACCACACTCCCACCAGCGGCTTAGCTCCTCTCTGCCAGGCCAACTAAGAGTGCTTTGTCCTGGGTGGGACATGGGGGCTGATAGAGATGGGGGAAGACATAACACCCAGAAATGAAAACAGAGATTTAGAGAAGGAACCAGTTAAGTATGAGACAGAAGTGAAATATAAAAACTGATCAGCTAGTACCAAATTTCTGTTAATTCTGGAAGCAAGGACAAATCTATTAGGAAGAGATTTAATGCTAAAATTAGGCTTAGGCCTCCAAATCAATCATGGAAAATTCCTCCCCTTCCTAAACTTGCTCACCACTGCAGACGAAGAACACATTCATCCTGAGGTATGGTCAAAAGACAGGAATTGGGAACGTTACAGATTCCTTTGATTCATGTTAAATTAAAAATCCCTAGGGAAGTAGTAAAGAGAAAGCAATACCCTAATCCTTTAGAAGCCAGGGTAAATTTAAAACCTATAATTAAAGGTCTTCTCCATGATGGGCTTCTTGAACCCTGTATGTCTCCCTATAACACTCCAATACTGCCTGTAAGCAGCCAGATGGGTCATACCGGTTAGTGTAAGACCTTAGAGCTGTTAATCAGATAGTCCAAACTACACACGCTGTTGTTCCCAATCCTTACACTGTTATCAGTAGGATCCCATACAGCCACCAGTGGTTTATAGTAATAGATTTAAAAGATGCCTTCTGGGCTTGTCCATTAGCAGAGGACAGCTGGGACCTATTTGCTTTTAATTGGGAAAACCATCACTCAATTTCTCAAAAACTGATATTAGGTCTGTCTTCTGCCCTCTCCTCCCTCAAGACTCAAGGCATTCTAGCCCAGACTCCACCTCTTGAATTTCCAGTTCACCACCACCAGCCTGGAGATCACGTCCTCATCAGGAGTTGGAAAGAAAGGAGGCTCAAGCCCACTTGGGAAGGACCTTTTTTAGTGCTCTTAACAACTAAGACAGCAGTTCAGACCACCAAGAAGGGCTGGGCTCATCACACTCGAGTTAAGTGGGCACCACCCTTCCCAGAATCATGGACCATTGTTCCAGGACCAACTCCTGCCAAGCTAAGGCTAAAGTGGTTTAACCCTCTTATTCTGTATTTCTTTCCTTCCCCCTTCTATCACTAATCCCCTTATCATTAATGTAACCAAGTCAAGCTCACCCCAAACTATTACCTTTGATGCTTGCCTTGTTATACCCTGCAGAGATTTGTCAAGTCAAAAGCAACTCTCCACCTCAGAAAAGTATCTCTGTCCTTCCTGGCTGTCCTCAGATTGGGCATTTGTTAACTGGGATAAATTAGTTTGGGAAGAGTTTGACGAAGATTCCAATATGAACTGGGAATCTAGTCCTCTTAGAGCAGAGCTTCTCTGCCGAAGTTGGTCCAATGTTCTATGAAATACTAAAGGGCAAGGATGACCTCCCCAACTAGTACTTACAGTTTCTTAAAACCATATATTCATTTTACTAAAGGGATTACCCCTCCCAATTGTCAGCTGAACCAATGTAATCCAGCACAGATTACTATCTGTGCTCCCCAGAGTTCTTCCCCTTCATTAAGCCATTTCTATGGTATAGGAGCATAAGTCTCAGGGAAGGACCCCATAGGATCCTTTGAAATGTGCTTCACTGCTTCCCCACCTCCTGCATCCCCTTCTCGCTCTCCTAAGTTCTCTGCTAACCAAACCTTTTCTCATTATATACCCAATGATAAAACCAGAGTAGCTGTTGTAGAGGTTAAAGATTTAAAACAAATTATAGCAATTGAAACAGGGTATCAGGACGCAAATGCTTGGCTGGAATGGATTAAATATTCTGTTCACATGCTAAACAAAAGCAACTGTTACTCTTGTGCAACAGGCAGGCCAGAGACCCACATTGTCCCCTTTCCACTTGGGCGGTCCTGTCACCGAGGAGGCATGAGCTGTATGATAGCCCTCTTCCAGAACCCCATAGCCTGAGGCGATGAGTCATGCAAGACTCTTTCACTGCTGTTCCCTGAGGTCAAGAGCCCTGCAGGTCAGCCCCTGAGGGCCATCCGGCCTCCAGCTCCTAATATTAACTTCACCTCGTGCCTTTCACAGCAGGGGGAAACGTTTGCATTCCTTGGAGACTTAACAGGGTGCAGTGATACCAAGCCTTTTCAAGAGCTTACCAATCAGTCTGCCCTTGTTCATCCCTGAACGAATGTGTGGTGGTATTGCGGAGGACTATTGTTGGGTACTCTGCCAATTCACTGGAGTGGCACTTACGCTCTAATTCAACTGGCTATCCCTTTCATCTTGGCACTTCATCAACCAAGAAAGTTGAAAACAGAATGTCATAAAAAGAGAGATGTCTCTCAAGGATCCTTTGATCCTCATGTTTATATAGATGCTATTGGAGTACCACAAGGGTTACCAGATGAATTCAAAGCCTGAAATCAAATAGCTGCAGGATTCAAGTCTATATTGTTCTGGTGGTCAACTGTAAACAAGAATGTAGCTTAGATAAATTATGTCTATTATAATCAACAACACTGTGTTAATTATACTAGATATACTATTAAAGGAATACTTGAACAATTAGGCCCTACCAGCCAAATGGCCTGGGAAAATAGAATAGCCCTTGACATGATATTAGCTAAAAAAAAAAAAGGTAGGGTTTGTGTCATGATTGAAGTCCAATATTGTACTTTTATTCCCAATAACACTGACCCTGATGGAACAATAACAAAAGCCTTACAAGGCCTTACCCTGTTATCAAATGAGTTAGCTAACAATTCTGGAATAAATGACCCCTTTACAAGCCTCATAATAGCAGTAGATAATACCCAGAAAGTAGCAACCCTATGCGATCTGTGCTTCCCAGAAACCCCCAAGACAGTGCATCTGAAACAAAAAAGGAAAAGATGGAAGACCAAACTGTGGGTGATCATATTTAAAGGGTCATAAACAATTATGGTGTCATTTGTAATGGAGAAAAAGTCTTTAACATCGTTTAAGAAATGTTAGACTACCAGCGTTATCCACTGACTGCCTAGACAATCAAATCGACAATTGATCAGACTCTGCTTCATTGTATCTTTTCTTTTGTTGCCTAAAATAATTGGCTCCCAACTGGTGAGACAAAAATCATTGGTGGGGCTTCAAATCCCTTTGCACAGCACAAATCATCTGTGGATTTAGTAAATACTTCCAACATATTATATACATTACTATTTTTCATATTGGTATTAATAAGATTAATAAAATACAAATCCAGTAGAAGGCATTACTAAAAGTTATTGACTACTTTTTTTCATCTATTTCCTCAAGCAGTGGATGCTAAAAAATTCCAAATCCTATTATAAATTTATGTCTTTCATACTAAATGATATTGTTACTTTCCTCTAATTACAAAAATAATGGCTTCTTATCTAACATTCACTGATCAGTTATTATGTGCCCAGTAATATGTGAAGCCCTTCACATGAAATATCTCAATTTATCCTCATCACAATTTTACAAGGTAGGCATCATCATAACCCTCATTTTATAGATAAAGAAGCTGAGGCTTGAAGAGTTTTGGTAACTCACCTGCATTCAAATAGGCAACAAGAGAGAGAGCCAGGCTGTAAAAGCAGATTGACCTGTACCTTAATTACACATAATATGGCCTCATGTGCTCTATCAGAAAATAGAGAAAACTGGAGAGTATAAAGTAAATATCTCTCATAATCCTGCTAATCAGACATAGGACTGGTAGATAACATGTTAGGTTGTGTCCTTCTAGTCATTTTATTAGATGTTTGTCCCCCTACTGAAGTGGTTTTAGGCAGCACATTTTGTTTTGTATTTTCACACAGCATCTACATAGACAAAAATGTTTTTCTAGGATATTATGCATTTTGCAGTGTGTGGTTGAACTATGTTTTATCTGACCATTCTTGTGTACATTTAGGTAGTTTCCAACATTCATTATCATAAATAATGTTATGTGGCAGATTATAAAACTTGCCCGCATAGTATCCCCATTGTCAAGAAGTGGAGCCTATTTCTCCACTCCTCAAATCTGCACTGGCTGTGTGATGTACTTTGGCCAACACTGCTTGTGTCCGCAAGTGTACCCAGCAGAGACTTGGCGTGAGCTGCACACTGGGACTGGCTCTCTTGCTGCTCTTGGGACCCCATGATGGCCATCGTGTGAAGAAGTCCAGGCTTGCCTGCTGCCCCATCAGCCCTGCCAACAGGTTGCCAACCACCACGCCTGTGGTTAGCCTCCATCATCCAGCGCCCTCCAATTCGCCATCCTCTCCCAGACACCCAGCAGGGACTGGACAAGCTACCCAGATGAGGAGAACCACACAGCTGACCCACAGAACTGTGAACTAATTACATGGCTGCTATAAGATTTGGGGTCGTTGGTTAACAGCAAAAGCTAATACATACTGCAGTGAATAATCATGAATATACAAGTTTATACAAGTTTAAGAGTAGAAGTTACAATACAGAATGAGAGATGGAGTGAGGTTTAAGAATGGGATGAGGTTCAGGGATGAAGGAAGAATAGAGGAGGCTCAAGGAGAAGAGGAGGACAGGAATGGGATAGAGTCCTAGATGAGAAGAGAGTTTAGGATGGAGATGGCAGGCTCCAGAATCAGTGAGGATATCTATGTGCATTTACTTGATAATTTTCAAAATCTGAACGTTTATTGATTTGTTTATTAAGCTGCATCAAAATGTCATTTGCAGAGAGTGTATATTCCCCATATACTCATCCAAAACATTGATTATTCTTTTTCCTCCTTGCCAGTGTGATAAGTGAGAATGATACCTGCATGTCTGAGTTTTGCACTCTGCAATTAATAGTGGCATTGAATTTCTTTCCACGTGGTTACCGTCCTTTTGCTCTCCTGTTTGTGTCTGGCCCATTTTGCCAAATTTTTTCATGCCTTTTCCAAGTCAATCTCCAACCCACCCCTGGTACCAGGCAACTATTGTTGTGCGTTTTTCTGTCATTACAGATTAAAATTGTCTGAGCTTTTTAAAAATATTCCATTGCTTTGCACATCCACTTATTTTATGGTTAGTGTTTTTTCTAGCTTTTTTAAGTTTTATTTTTTAATTGATGTATAATAATTGTACCTATTCATAGGGTATATAGTGATGTTTTGATATCCGTAATGCATAATGATCAGATCAGGGTAATTAGCATATCCATCATCTCAACCATGTGTCATTTCTTTGTGTTGGGAACATTCCATACCTCCTTCTAGCTATTGAAATTACATGATGTATTATTGTTAACTATAGTCATCCTACAGTGCTGTAGAACACTAGTGCCTATTCCTCCCGTCTTTCTTAATGTCTAGGCTTTTTGATAAATAAAATGTATTTTAATCTTTCTTTTGTTAAATTGAACAAACTTTCTTTAACTGTGTTAGTTAAAACTGCCTTTCCCACACCAAATTTACATAGAGATTCACCCTATATTTTCTTCTGTTCATTTTTACATTTAACTTTTAGGGCATCTTGGATATATTTTAATATATACTATGAAGCATCTATTGTTATTATTTCACAAGAGTTTATCAGTTATCCCATATTATCTTGTCCCACTGACCACACACTCAGACACACACACACACAAATACTTGGATCTGTTTCTATTATCTTTTTTGATCCTACATTGTTACAGACTTTTATCATTGCAATATCTGAATAACTGGTAGTATAAGCACACTGTCTCTCTAACCAATGCTTATTCCTTTTTTTTCAATATTTTCCTGGCAGTTCTTGCCCATTTATTCTTCCCAATGAACTGTAGAATCAGTTTATCAGGTTCTTTTAAAAAATACCGGCAGGGCGTGGTGGCTCACGCCTGTAATCCCTGCACTTTGGGAGGTTGAGGCAGGTGGATCACCTGAGGTCAGGAGTTCAAGACCAGCTTGGCCAACAGGATGAAACCCTGTCTCTACTGAAAATACAAAAAATTAGCTGGGAGTGGTGGCACATGCCTGTAATCCCTGCACTTTGGGAGGCCGAGGCAGGTGGATCACCTGAGGTCAGGAGTTCAAGACCAGCCTGGCCCACAAAATGAAACCCCATCTCTACTAAAAATACAAAAAATTAGCTAGGCGTGGTAGCACATGACTGTAATCCCTGCACTTTGGGAGGCTGAGGTGGGTGGATCACTTGAGGTCAGGAGTTTGAGACCAGCCTGGCCAACAGGATGAAACCCCATCTCTACTAAAAATACAAAAAATTAGCTGGGTGTGGTGGTGCACGCTTGTAATCCCAGCTACTCAGGAGGCTGAGGCAGGGGAATCACTTGAACCTGGGAGGCGGAGGTTGTAGTGAATCAAGATTGCGCCACTGCACTCCAGCCTGGGCAACAAGAGCAAAACTCCATCTCAAAAACAAAAACAAACAAACAAACCAAAAAACCTGGTAAATTTGTTTAAGTTCTTTGTAGATTCTGGATATTAGACCTTTGTCAGATGGGTAGATTGGAAATTTTTTCTCCCATTCTGCAGGGACATGGATGAAGCTGGAAACCATCATTCTCAGCAAACTAACACAAGAACAGAAAACCAAACACCACATGTTCTCACTCATAAGTGGGAGTTGAACAATGAGAACACATGGACACAGGGAGGAGATCATCACCTACCAGGCCTGGCAGGGGGTGGGGGCTAAGGGGAGGGAGGGCATTAGGACAAATACCTAATGCATGTGGGGCTTAAAACCTAGATGACGGGTTGTTAGGTGCAGCAAACCACCGTGGCACATGTATACCTATGTAACAAACCTGCACGTTCTGCACATGTATCCCAGAACTTAAAGTAAAATTTAAAAAAGAGATATAATTGTCATAAATGCAAAAATGAACATATAAACAAAAACTTGGGAGCCATGATTTTTAATCATTATTTACATTTTTATTTCCTTAAGTCTTATTTGTCCAAGTAGACTGTAGGCTTCCTAAGGACAATGGTCATATATTGGAATAAAAGTCTTTGTCATCTCCACAATGCCTGGCACACAGATGATGCCTAGTGAATGTGTGTTGACATAGCAACCACTCCCTGGAAATCTATGTCACCAGACGCTTTTTAAAAATAAATATGTTTAAACTATCTATGAAAAGAAAGAAATAGCAGTGTATATATACTACACATCTAATTTCCACAAAGCTGGTGAAATAGTTTAAAAATTTAAATGTGCATCAACATTTACATGATTCTACATAAAATAAATTAACAGATCAAATTTGAAGTTTAATGCCAAAAAAACTGTCCAATGTCTTTTTTTGTACTTGGCTTTGATTGTTATGTTGAATATTGCTAAGTTAGGTAAGCCATTACTTGGACTTTGCATTATGTTACATTTTGTGTGTATGCTTGTGATGAAACTTAGTAAGATTGACTTCTGTTATAAGAATGTCTCCATATACAAAATTTTAAAACAAAATCTTAAGAAAGGTAAGCTAAATCTATATAGCTGATTCACAGTACTGACTTTTTAATTTTGACTACATTCATTTGTTAGAGAATTCCATAAGGGCAGAGCTGAAAGTGCCCTAGAGAGCCAATTCCTTCATTTAACTGACCAGGAAACTGAGACCTAGAAAAGTAAGGTTAAGGCCATATAGTTAGTTGATGGCAGAGCTGGGACTAGAATCAACTCTTTTCCTTCTCACCCTAGTAATGAGATTCCAAACTTGTTGCCCTTCTCTCAAGATCAAATTAATTTAAAGTTCCTTTTTTAGAAGCAGGCTTTGTAAAATTTTTGCCCTTGTTTTTGGGAGAAGGTTGTCATTAGATGAAACTAATTAACAACAAGGGCCCTAAAACTCTCAAAAGATAAGTTTTTGCAAAAAGCTAAATCTGCTTTTTTAGAAAGACCAAGATCACTTTCAATACAAAATGGCAGCTCAATAAAGCCATTGACAAAATACAGAATGGGCATAAAAGTCAAAAGAGGCAGACAGAGAAAAATGTGGCAGTACTTGCCCAAGGAGAAGTGACTTTCAATAGACACTATAAATGGACAAATCCATCAAGCTGACAGAGAGGGTGGAGCTGGAAGACAGCAGGAGGCACATCGGGTGGTACTGAGGGAGAAAGGAGGAAGCATGAAAAACATTTCGAACAGCTCTCCACTTCACAGGATTTCACAAGCCACTTCAACTACTGAGATATATTGAGGAGGTTCCCATCTGGTGAAGAAGACAGCTTTATGACCTAGAGTGTAAACAATGCAAACAGAAGGAAAATGCCTCCAATCAAAGGCAATGCAGCCAGAAGGCTGTCTGTCCACAGACCGTTCATTGACTCCAGTCAGGTAAAGGTGAGTCACGAAAGATCAATGTCAGGTAGGCAACACATAGCTCTTTAAATTTAGTCCAGCAAGAGAGAAGTTTATAGATCCAGGCATTATGTGTCAAACAAAAGGGAAATACTTATGTTCAGTCTCCTTTTCGAGAAATAAATACCAAGAAGAGTGCAAAATAGAGAGTCAGAACCCACCCATAAAGATAAAGTTCTAGGAAGCTCCAGAAACCTTACGTACACTAACAGTTTTCTAACACTTGCAGTTGTCAATAAAATGAAGCTTAGCTTATTTCACCATCATCTTTTTACAGATTGGGGTAAAAAGAGTATTTTCTCATAGGGACAAAAGTAATAAACATGGAAGTTGTTCCCTGGGGACCAGGATTCTCTGGCACATCTGAGTTATTTAGCTTGAAGTATTACAATGAATGTATTTGTAAAAAGCAAGGCAAAATTTCAAGTGGATTGTAGATTTAAATGTGAAAGGCAAAAGAATAAAGCTTCTATTGAATAACAGGGAAATATCTTCATAGCTCTTGGGGTAGACAAATATTTCTCTAGCAGGACATGCAAAGAACAGTGACCATAAAGGAAAGTGATAATTTGAACTATGTTAAAATTAAGAACTTCTGATGAACAAAAGGCACCACTGGGGAGAGATTGAAAAAGCAAGCCACAGGATGGGAGAAGACATTTGTGATACATATATCCAACAAAAGTTCTGTTGAATATATAAAGAACTCCTGTGGAATATATATATATATATTCATTCCTTATATATTCTGTTGAGTATATAAAGAACTCCTAGAATATATAAGGAACTCCTACGAATCAATTAGAAAAGACAGATAAGCTAATTAAAAAATAGTGGTAAAAGACTTGAGCAGATGCTTCATCAGAGAGGATATCAACATGACCAATAAACATATGAAAAAAATGTATGGCAAGGAAATGCAAATTAAACTCCAACGAGAGAGAAAAAAAAAAAAAAGGAAACTCCAATGAGATTCCACCAAACACACACCAGAATGGCGAACATGAAAAAAACTGTTGGTAAAGATGTAAAGTCATTGGGACACTAATACCCTGCTGGTGAGAATGGAAACTGGAGCAATTGCTTTGGAAACTCTTCTGACAGTAGCTACTAAACTTGAATACAAGAATATCCTATGATTCAGCAAGTCAACTCCTGGATTTACATTACAAATATGCACCAAAAGAATGTACCTCCAAGAAAGCTCAGAGAAGCATTCATGGAGCAAATAATAAATATAATTATATTCACTATAATTATCTAAACATTATAAATATAAATATTATATTGTTTTCATTATCACCCCAAAATGAAAACAAACTCCATGCATTCATCAACAATAGAATGGATAAATAAACTGTAATATATTCATGTAATGGAATACTACACTGTGATGAAAAGGAACAAACTACTGTTACTATGACACGGGGGGATCTCTCAAACGTGACATTGGACAAAAGAGACCAGGCACAGAATAGTACACATACAATTCCATTTATATGAAGTTCAAAAACAGGTAAAACTTACTCCTATGGTGCTAGAAATAAGGATCATAGTGTCATTTTGGGGATGGGTGGGGGTGAATTGGAGGGGCGCATGCAGGGTTCTTGGGGTACTGATAATATTCTGTCTTCTAATCTGGGATGGATTACACAGGAATGTTTGCTTTGTGAAAATTCACTGAGCTGTGTGTTTAGTATTTGTGTACTTTTCTATAGTATATACCTCAATTAAAAATCTGTCTAAAATTGGTGCACGACAATGTGAATGTACTTAACACTATTGAACTATATTCTTAAAACTGTTAAAATGATCAATTGTATGTTACATGTATTTTATCAAAACTATAAAAAGATTTTTAAAAGAATGAACCAACTTCACTGATACCTTGATTTGACTTCTGGCCTCCAGGGTCATGCGATGCAGCCATATTTACTTCCAGTGAGTTCCCAAATCAGTATTTTTTAGGCTCAACTTAGTTTCTTATGTATGTAACATCTGCCACCAAAAGTAAATATTTTCTAACTGGAAAAAAATAAATTTAAATAAAGGAGTTTCCCTGCATACTCTAGTGCTAATAGGAAAAAATACGGCAGTCCATCAGAGCTCACCAAGCTCGGTGATTGGATCAACTCTGCCAGAGTGTGAAATCAAGCAAGTAGACTTAAAATCTCAGCTTCTCCCTCCCTCTGTGCCGACAGGCCCCTGGAGGGAAGTTCAGCTGGACGAAGTTCACAGGCCTGGGGATGCCTACTGAGACAAAGCCCTTGCCAGCTGTTGTTTTCCTCACCCTCATAGTGTAGGAACTGAAGCCAGGGCTGACCTCAGCAGCTGTCCCCACAGATCATGTCTAGAGCACACTAAAGGGTTGGACCAACCCCAGATCACAGACAGCTCCACAAGGTCACAGTTCCAGCCCTGCAACTGACCTCACCAGCAGCATTGTTTAGAGCACTCAGCATTGTTTGCAAGAAGTTTGTCTAAAGTTTGTCGTGTAACCGTGCTCATCAAACATCCCGTCCATCCATCCATCCACGCATTTATTCACCCAACAAATATTTGTTGAGTATATGTTTGAGGCCCTCTCCTTGGTTCTGCCAGAGAAAGCTCTAGCCTCCACGGAGACTGTCTTATATTTTTAGAGGTGTCAAAGCTTCAATTTGAAGGACAACATAAGATACGGATATCCTCTGGATGGAATTGACAGGACACATACAAAAAATAGACTTCTGTACCTTTCCCTTAGATGTTCCATCCTCCTCCCTAACCACTGCTTGTGTCTGCTTTCAGCATGTGAAGTAGGCAGGAGGAGCAGAGAGCAGAGGAGGCTTAATTTCAGCCCTCACTTGGATCAAGGGGTGCAGTAAAACCTGTCCTCTTAGGGTAATAGGCACTCTTGGGATTCACTGTATGTGACTTCTCCAAACCAGCTCTTTTCTGGGAAAGAAACTGTGGCTGACACTCCTTCATCCCCCTTCTTCGGAGCAGAATCCTGATTTTGTGAAGCTATCTATCCTCCTGTCTGCCTGTGTGTCAGGGAAGACCCCAGCTCAGAGGGCTGATCCTGAGAGGTCTAAGCCGATGGTGGCTTTCTCCTCTCCCTCTGCCAGTGGCTGATCTAGGCATGGGTCCATGATGAGCAAACTCCAGCCTGACACCTGAGAGGAGCGCTGCTGGGGGCTTCTGGGAAAGTTTACTGTCTCAGACAGAGCTTGTTTGTGGCTCCATGATGCCTGGGTTGCTGCAGCCCAACTTGCCACCAGCCTGGTATAAAGCCCTCACAGGGGTGGCTGGGCAGGAAGAAGCTGGTCCGTTCTGACATAATCGAACCACTGAATTAACCAAATCCAGAGACCCACCCGAGCCTCTTGTGATGGGAGAGAACCCATTTCCTTATTAGATAAACCTATTTGAGACAGAGTTTTCTCAAGGCATCTCAACTGATACAGATTGTTCAGTGAAATCAAGCCAAGAAGGGAGACTGAGGCTCCATAAAATCCAGTTTGAGTCACTGGTCCACTAGCTTTCCTGTTTGCACCAAGCGTCAACAGGAGGAATGAATGCCAGATACATTGGAACACAACACGTCTGTTTAAAAAGGGGCCACAGAATACATACACTAATAAACTTGGATTAAATTGGTCACTGTTTGAATGACTTTCTGTTCCTGGATCTTTTTCTGCTCAAGAATCAAATTTCTCAACTTGCTCTCCCTCCTTTAAAGCCCCTTTAAAGAAAATGGAAATGATTCTTAACAGCTGTTGGAGGTGGAACACATGCCACATGCATCCAGGGAAGCATTTCGCCCTCATCTCAACCTCAGCCAGAGAAACAGCTATGAGGAATTCTCCCCTAGCCTTAGCTTCTGACATTCTGACTCAGCAAGGCTGGTCTGGGGCCTGGAATCTATATTTTTAACAACTTCCCAGGTGATACTGAGGTGGGTAATCCAGGGACCTTGCTTTGGGGAACGTTGATCTGACGCACCCAGCACCAATACGAGCTTTCTCCAGAGTGGCCTGTGGCAGAGGAAAGAAGGAGCACTGAAGTCATGATCTGCCGGCCCTGAGCCTCTGCATCTCAGTTTCTTCGCATGGAAAACAGGACTAACAACACTCAGTCCCCACTGCTGTCATGAGGATGGAACACTCAAGGAGAACTGCACAGTGTGGCTCAGCCTCACGCTTTGTTTGCTTATCAGTTTTGATTCTGCAGGGCTCTTCAGGACCACAGCCCTGTCCCTTCTTCCAGTCTGTATCAGCATCTGATCTCTCAGGGTGGGTCTAGGTCTTCTTTAATAAATCCATCCAGCTGAGCTTTCCATCCACGAGCAAGAAGGGACGCTCCCTCCTGCTCACCTTCTGTTTGGTGCCTACCTGCAAGTCCTCCCGGGTCAGTTAAAGCTGCCCTATGTTTCTGAACATTGCTCGCTGGAAGCCAAAGTTTCACAATAATTAAAGTTAGGAAAGGGGACTCTCCTATTTAAGGACTAGCATGCCAGCCTCTTCCCCCTTCATAGGAAAGAAGAAGGAAAGGAAGGGAATTGGCAAAAATCAACCTCCAGCTGACTCCCAGGCAATCCATTTATCCAACACTTATGCACCAGACACTGGCAAGCACTGAGTTTGTCCCCGGCCCATGTCACCTTCACCATCCTTTATCTTGTAGGAACACATTGAGAGCCAGAGTCTGCAAGAGAATGAGGCAACAGTTGACTTTTCTTCAACCTGAATTTCACCTTCTCCTCCCTTCCTGTGATCCCTCTCTTCTGCAGATTCCAGGCACCAGGTGAGTGCCCTGGTGCTGTCTCTGGTTGCACAGAGGCCAGTTTGGGACTTCACCCTGTCTTGCCCTTCCTCGAGGGACCTGTGCCATGGGGGCACACTCAGAGTTAGGGATAGCCACCCAGTCTTCCCAGCCCCAGCACCCTGTGCTTTGCAATCTGTGGTGAGATCCACCAAGGAATGTGCTGCTCAAAGAGCTGAAGACAGAACTCATTTGAAGCTTGCAAATGCCTTAGTCTTTAAAGAATTCACTAGAGCCAATGCAAGGCTGTCCCTATCCAGCCTGTGTGCTCCATCCTGGTCTCATGAGTAGACTTGGGGACAGTATCATGGGTTTGCACAAACCTTCTTCTCCTCATCTCATCTGTCATGATGCTCAAGGCAGATGGGGGAAAGAAGAGACCCCTGTGTGTGGCCCCAGTTGATGCTGCTTGGCCTGCATTTCTCTCTAGTCTCCAAGACAGGGAGGAAAATAATTTTTGTCCTAGTGAAAATTCTCTATGTAGAGAGAATCCCGACATTGCTCCTAGCCTCCTCCTCCCCAGGCAACCTATGTTCTCAGCCTGTCTGGGACAGCATGATCCCCTATCCCTGTGATCTCCCTTGTGCCCTTCCTGTTCCTCTTTGATATCTTCAGGTTTTGGTCATGTTCAAAACTGGACACTGTGGATAAATAGGGTCTAATTAATGCCCAAAGGAACAGGATGACTTCCAACCAATGGCTTGGCACAATACGATTCTTCTAATATGTCTTGGGATTCAGCTGATCTATGAACACAGAGCCCAATTAAAACCCTCTGTAGCTGCAGCAAACATGCCAGGAAAGGAGCTAGTCACAGATCCTGGAGCTCTGGGGAATTTCTTCTAGATACAGAGCTTTGGGGAGCAGGCTAGAGGAAGCCACTGAGGCCCACACGCAGCCTCTGCTCCTGGGAGAGCCCTGAAGGGCCATGAGATGCACTCAAGGAGATGATACTGTGGTCACCCAAGGCTCCAGCCCAGGCTGACCCCCATGGCCTCCTTGGCACACTCCATTCCCAGCCACATCAGGGCAGTCCCCATCCTCAGAGAAGGCTACACAACTTGACAGTTTCTGTGCCTGGGTCTGTGCTAGCCCTTTAGCCTGGGGTGCCACCCACTCCACCTTCCAATGATTAAACCCCTCTTTCCCTTCAAGGTACTGTAAATGCTCCTTTTGTGATGCCCCTGGAGCTTCTCCCATTGCAGTCCTATACCATGTTACTTGCATGTTGCTGAGTAAATCCCGATCCTGGTTTGGGATTCAGTAGTAGTTTCCACGACCCTCTCTCCCACTGAACAACTTTGCCACTCTCCTCAAGGGGAGGGAATCTTCATTTACGAATTGCCTGGAGCACAGAAGTCACGGTACCAGTTGTTTTGCATAAGAATTCCATTTAATCCTCATTGCTCGCTTCATTAGGCAGGTATTGATATACCCATTTTACAGAAGAGCTTCACCAAGTAAAGGCAGAGGGCTAGAATTAAGATTTAAACTTGAGTCTGACTCCAAAGCCCATGCTCTTGCAATGACCATGTTATGAATCTTATATTAATCTTTGTTTGGTCTTATGATCTGGCACGGTGCCTTGTACGTAAGCAATTCTCAATAAATGTTTGCAGAGTGCAATGTGTCATCTCAGAGTGTTGAAGGAAAGCAAACCAGCGTCTCAAGTAATTTAGACTTTGGCATAACTTTCTGAAAGGGACACTTACCCCTTAAAAGATGAATATTAAAAGAAATAATAAATGAATCTGGAATTAGTAGAAGGCAAAGATGTTTCCTGGCACCCCTCTCTGTCTTTTTCCTGCCACCTTTAATCTACATCAGAAAAACTGGGTCCAGCTGGTCAGAAAGGAATAGTCTTCATGGCCGTCGCAGGTGACAGTGTCCCGCCCTACCTTTGCGGGAGCCCCGCCTGGGGTTATGTCTGACATGTCCTTCTTCAGGATTCTCCACTGAGTGTGTTTCAGGCTCTCATTCTGGCAGAATGTAAGACCAGGATCTCCACCCCAGATGGAGACAGGTGTCCCCCTTCCCTCTGCTACCCAAAGGAGCTGAGCTCCTTGCAATGGGAAGACTGAGTTCCTTCCCCCTGGCCTCAGCACTGGCACACACCCAGCAGCCTCTTCCCAGAGCGCATCTCCTTCTGTGGGAGCAGGATGGCTACAGAAGGTCACCGCCTATTTGTAGCTGCTCCGTTTCCAACCAGAGACGCCTGCCAGCTGCCGCCGACCACCCCGCCGACCCTGTTTCTGTATGTCATATGGTGGCTGGGAGCCACGGGCCCTCTCCAAGTCCATCCACTTAGGATTTCCTCCTCCGTCAAACTCAGAGGCTTTGCCCAACTGCATGGGTGTCACGTGGAGGGAGCAAGTGTCACCTCCAGGCTCCCCCAAGGACTCCACACGTCCTGTAAGCATCCTCCAACTAACCCATTGCAGAGAGTCCTTAACTCCAGTTACTTTCCCCAGAGCCGCTCTGCAGATGCAAAGGGCTCGTGCTTTCATTTGTTCATTCATTCATTCAGCCATTCCTGATGTTTACTCATTCACTGCCAATCCCACACGCCTCTATGCTGCTCTCTTCCACAAGCATTTGGCTCTTCATTTCAGAATTTCCGCTGAGTCATAGCTGGAGCAGGCAGTGAGGGTGTCCCTTCAGCTCTCTAAATTTACCTCCCTGAGCTTGATTTCCCATAGTGGCCAGTTGACCTTGACCAGATTGACTTCAGAGAAGCCAGCTGTAATTAAGCAGAGGCAGAAATCTCCAAGGAGGAAGGTGCCTCAGGTCGGATGCGTCCCTCCGGTCCTGTGGCCAGAGCAGTTGCCCTCAGTGTGTGTCTCCTCCCGTCCTGGCACTGCCCATGGCAGGGCTCTTAGTACATGCCTGGCCCTGCAGCCGCATGGAGGCGTGACATGTGACCATGACTTTCGGCTGGAGGTGGGGGTCATGTGCACGTGGCCTGGGGCTTAGCTCTCACCCTGCTACTCACTCAGAATTCTCCTCTGGGTTTGGAGGTCTGTGAGCAAGATGAAAAAACACAGAATTCTGTTATTCTGTTCCTCGTAGTGTAAGCATTCTTTTTCTTGGGTTCTTTTTTAGGAACAGAACAAAATTAAAAGTAAAGGGAGCCAAAAGCAGCAACACCCAGGGCTGAAGCGTAGGACTGAAGGAACACATTTAGAAACACGTGTGACCATCGCTGCCATGGCTGTGTGACTATAGGCCAGTTGTTTAACTTCTCTGGGCTTTGTGCTGCTCATGAGACCCAAGGTCGCTGTTGTAAGACATCTGTGTGCATGTGTGTGTGCGTGTGCATATCCCTTGATCGTTCTATTTTTCTATGTCTGCTTACTCTAGCAATAGAGAGAGCACCCAAAATGCTAAATAACACCAAAGGCCACAAAATGGATGGCACGGTGGCATTGCACTCGAGGAGCCCGGGTTGCTATTATTTTCTGTTTTTCCAGAATGTTAACAGGAAACACAGAGTTCTATTGTGAGGCAAACCTTCTCCTTTTCCAATGGGGCAAATGTTCCAGGCACACACCCAGCTGAACAACATCGACATTCTTGCCTTTGGTCATTGAGATGCTGGCACCTTTTGGAAAACTTGCCAGAAGTTTTTCTCTTGCTGCTCCACAGCGTAGGGGAAGAAGAGGTGGCTGGGTTTTGTTACTCAGCCATCAACAAAAATGAAGAAAATGGGGGAGTCTTCCCAAATAAATGACTCCTGCTTTCCAGGGAGACACATTATTGGAGATAAATACACTAAATTTTGCTGTTTGACTGTCTCCATCTGAATCCATGTACCAGGAATATGACAAAGTCAAGGCAGGTGTATGTAGAATAAAAAACATAAACGGGGGAAGCTGAAACGTTAGAATATGCATAGTGGATATCCTGTGTTAAGTCAAGTTTGCTTCTGAATGCCAACAAGCAGGACAACAGTATGGTAAATACAGAACTTGCCAAGAAGCACAATGTGTCCCACAGATACTATTTCATTCTTCACAGACCAGTGAGTCCTCAGCTGAGGGTGGGGACAAGGAGGGCAGCACGTGACAGTCCCTTGGAAGTTTTTCAAATCCCATACACACACTCATGCTTCTCCTTCCCACCCTTCTGTAGAGATTTCAGCATGCCGCCCCCTTTGAGAAGTGCTGTGCTTTTTAGGGACATTCTCCCAAAGATAGCCTGTGGTGCTTTCATGCTATTAATGGACCAGAGCATTAAAAATGAAATTCTGCTACTTCCTGCCAATCAAATTCTTCCCCGAGCCAAAACCCCAGCCCAGGTGATGGAGTCTTAGCATAACTCTCAAGGCTCACCAGTCTTTATGAACTTGATCCTTTTCATTTAGTTAAAAGAAATCATTTAAGCTTACATCCAACTTTAAGTCATTGATAGTCATGGGAGACCAGAAGGTTATGGATAATTGATATCCACTGATAATCCCCAAGCCTCATTTGGATCAGTAGTTTCAACTCTCCCTCCCTGAAAGCTCTTATTGGAGCTGCTTATAATGCAGCTACCCTCACTGGTTTGTGTTATCTCCTATCCTTGTATCATTCCATCTCCCAGCAGAAGCGGAAAGTATTGAAAAGGCCCATGGGCAGCCAGCCAGCAAAAAGAAGAAGCTGAAACATCCCACAGCAGGGAATTGCTATGTATGTAAGCCCCATTTCAAGAACAACTAATACAGAAAAATCCAAATCTTAAAACCTACAAATTAGTGCACGAGTACTACAACTGATGTGCCTTACAAACAGATTTTTACTTAATAAACAGACTCTGTGAGATCTTTGGCCAATGGTTATTCCTTTGTATGGCTTCTTGAAATTCCCTGAGAAATTAAAGAAAGTGATGGACCCCTTTTCCAGAAAATTGTATTCACACATACAGACATAAAATTTTGCTTATAATTTCAAGGGTTTCACAGAACTACCAAGCAGCTTATAGATATAATGCAATATATTGAACCTAATGCAAACAATAAATAGATGTAGCCAGGCATGGTGTTTCATACCTGTAGACCCAGCTAATTGGGAGGCCGAGGCAGGAGAATCACTTGAGCCCAGGAGTTCAAGACCAGCCTGGGCAAGATAGTGAGACCCCATCTCAAAAAATCAATTATTTATTAATTAAGAAAAGAAATGTAATTCCTTTCTTCTATTAGATTACGACCTATAAGAAAGAATAGTAAACACTACAAATCTGACTGTATTATGGGTTATAATGAAAGACATACAATGCACCAATATGATGTATACATAATTTAATTATATATATTTTATCAGGCAGAGTGGACAAGCCTTAACCAAACCTGTCTCAGTTACTCTAAAGACTACACTCTAGGTGGAGCCAAGATAGCCGACTAGAAACAGCGGCAATCAAAGGCTCCTATGAAAAAGAACCATAATTGGTGCGTAAATCCTTCATGGGCAACCAAGCTACCCAGGTTCTCTCATCAGGACTGACTTAGGCACCTGATGTGATCCATGATAAGGAAGGAAGAGCAGTGGAGTGTGGCAGCCACCTAAGAGCCACACGGGGCAGGGGAGTTCCACCCCCAGCAAAGGGAGGCGGTGAGTGAGCGTGCTACCCAGCCGGGGAAACCGTGCTTTTTACACAGAACTGTGCAACCTACGGATTGGAAGATCCCACTGGCAAACCCATGCCACCGGGGCCTAGGGTCCCAAACTTGGAGCCGCGCACATTCTCAACAGCCCCTCACTGGAATCTGCTTAAGCCTGCCAAGCTTCCGGGGGGAGGGGTGACCAACACCACAGCTGCAGCTGCCTGCTGCCTAAGCCATTTGAGCTCCTTGGGGTAGAGGCAGCAGCCAGCACTGGGACTCATAACTGCCTAACACACTAAGCTCCCTGAGCGGGGGAAGGGCAGAAGCCATTTCTATAGTCAGGCCGCACTTTTCTCCTGCTGGAGTCAGGGAGGCACCACGGCTTGGTCCCCAAGAGGTGTCCCCCACAGCCCAACATACCAGCTGTGGCAGACTGTGGCCAGAGCGCCTCTTCAGGCCTGACACTGACACATCCTTCCTCACTGGGCAGGGCTTCCCTGCAGGAACTCCAACAACTGCAGCCAGAGGCTCAGGGACAGAACCGAGATCTCCCTGGGCCTGAGCCCCTAATGGGAGGGGTGGCCGCACCTCCATTACCAGGAGGAAAGGAAGATTTAGCCTTTCCTCCTGGTAGTTCTGAGGAATCTGGACAGCCCAGATGAATGGGTTTCCCCAAAGCGAAGCACACTCCCTCCACCAAGGGACAGTCAAAATGCTTCATTAAACCAGTCCTGTTCCCTGTGCCACCCAACTGGGTGAGACCCTCCAACAGGGGTTGTCAGAGAGCCTATACAGGAGTGATACTACTGGCATCAGGTTAGTGCCCCTCAAGGTGAGAGGTCCCAGAAGAAGAAGCAGGGACTCATCTTTGCTGTTCTCCAGCCTCCTTGAGTGATATCTGTAGGCATGGGAGCGAACCAGATGAGTAGGGTCTGAAGTGAACCCCCAGCAAACAGCAGCAGCCCTTTAGAAGAGGGATCTGACTATTGAAAGAAAAACAAACAAACAGAAAGCAACAACATCATCAACAACAAAAAGTCCCCACAAAAACCCCATCCAAAGATCAGCATCCTCAAAGAGCAAAACTAGACAAATATGCAGATGAGAAAGAATCAATGAAAAAACACTGAAAAACCCAAAAGGCCAGGGTGCCTCTTCTCTTAAATGATTGCAACTCCTCTCCAGCAAGGGTACAGAACTGGACAGAGGATGAGATGGATGAATTGACAGAAGTAGGCTGCAGGAGATGGGCAACAAAAAACTCTGCTGAGCTAAAGAAGCATGATCTAACCCAATGCAAAGAAGCTAAGAACCTTGATAAAAGGTCAGAAGAGCTGCTAACTAGAATAATCAGTTTAGAGAGGAAGATAAATTACCTGATTGAGCTGAAAAACACAGCACGAGAACTTTGTGAGACATACACAAGTATCAATAGCCAAATCAACCAAGGGGAAGAAAGGATATCAGAGTTTGAAGACCACCTTGCTGAAAGAAGACATGCAGACAAGATTACAGAGAAAAGAATGCAAAGGAATGAACAAAGCCTCCAAGAAATATGGGACTTTGTAAAAAGACTGAACCTATGATTGACTGGAGTACCTGAAGGAGATGGGGAGAATGGAAACAAGCTGGAAAACATACTTCAGGATATTATCCAGGAGAACTTCCCCAACCTAGCAAGACAAGCCAACATGCAAATTCAGGAAATACAGAGAACACCACAAAGATACTCCATGAGAAGACCAATTCCAAGACACATAATCATCAGATTGTCCAAGGTCAAAATGAAGGAAAAAATGTTAAGGGCAGCCAGAGAGAAAGGACAGATCTCCTACAAAGGGAAGCCCATCAGACTAACAGCAAACTTCTCAACAGAAACTCTGCAAGCCAGAAGAGAGTGGGAGCCAAAATTCAACATCATTAACGAAAAGAATTTTCAACCCAGAATTTCATATCCAGCCAAACTAAGCCTCATAAGTGAAGGAGAAATAAAATCCTTTCTAGACAAGCAAATGCTGAGGAATTTCATTGCCACCAGGCGTGCCTTGTGAGAGCTCCTGAAAGCAGCACTAAATATGGAAAGGAAAAACCAGTACCAGCCACTGCAAAAACACACCAAAAAAATAAAGACCAATGACACTATGAAGAAACTGCATCAACTAGTATGCAAAATAACCAGCTAGCATCATGATGACTGGATCAAATTCACACATAACAATACTAACCTTAAATGTAAATGAGCTAAATGCCCCATTTAAAAGACACAGACTGGCAAATTGGATGAGTCAAGATCCATTGGTGTGCTGTATTCAGGAGATCTATCTCACATGCAAAAACACACATAGGCTCAAAATAAAGGGAAATGAAAGCGAATGAAAGCAAAAAAGGGAAGTGAAAGCATACCAAGTAAATGAAAGCAAAATAAAGCAGGGGTTGCAATCCTAGTCTCTGACAAAACAGACTTTAAACCAACAAAGATCAGAAAAGACAAAGAAGGGCATTACATAATGGTAAAGGAAACAATTCAACAAGAAGAGCCAACTATTCTAAATATATATGCACCCAATACAGGAGCACCCAGATTCATAAAACCAGTGCTTAGAGACCTACAAAAAGTCTTAGACTCCCACACAATAATAGTGGGAGACATTAACACCCCACTGTCAATATTAGACAGAATGAGACAGAAAATTAACAAGGATATCCAGGACTTGAACTCAGTTCTGGACCAAGCAGACCTAATAGACATCTGCAGAACTCTCCACCCCAAATCAACAGAATATACATTCTTCTCAGTGCCACATGGCACTTATTCTAAAATCAACCACATAATTGGAAGTAAAACACTCCTTGAGCAAGACTCCATCTCAAAAAAAAAAAAAAAAGAAAAGAAAAGAAAAGAAAAACCACTCCTCAGCAAATGCAAAAGCCCTGCAATCATAATGAACAGTCTCTCAGACCACGGTGCAATCAAATGAGGACACAGGATTAAGAAACTCACTCAAAACCACACAATTACATGGAAATTGAACAACCTGCTCCTGAATGACTACTGGGTAAATAATGAAATTAAGGCAGAAATCAAGAAGTTCTTTGAAACCAATGAGAACGAAGAGACAACATACTACAATCTCTGGAACACAGCTAAAGCAGTGTTAAGAGGGAAATTTATAGCACTAAATGCCCATGTTAGAAAGCTAGAAAGATCTCAAATTGACACCCTAACATCACAATTAAAAGAGCTAGAGAGGCAAGAGCAAACTAATCCAAAAGCTAGCGGAAGACAAGAAATAACTAAGATCAGAGCAGAACTGAAGCAAATAGAGACACAAAAACACCTCCAAAAAATCAATAAATCCAGGAGCTGATTTTCTGATAAAATTAACAAAATAAGTAGACCAATATCTAGACTAATAAAGAAGAAAAGAGAGAAGAATCAAATAGACACAATAAAAAATGATAAAGGAGATATCACCACTGACCCCACAGAAATATAAACTACCATCAGTAAATACTATAAACACTTCTATGCAAATAAACTAGAAAATCTAGAAAAAATTGATAATTTCCTGGACACATACACCCTTCCAAGACTAAACCAGGAAGAAGTTGAATCACTGAATACACCAATAACAAGTTCTGAAATTGAGGCAGTAATTAATAGCCTACCAACAACAACAACAAAAAAGCCCAGAACCAGACAGATCCACAGCCAAATTCTACCACAGGTACAAAGAGGAGCTGGTACCATTCCTTCTGAAACTATTCCGAACAATTGAAAAGGAGGGACTCCTCCCTAACTCATTTTATGAAACCAGTATCATCCTGATACCAAAATCAGGCAGAAACACAACAAAAAAAGAAAACTTCAGGCCAGTATCCCTGATGAACATCAATGTGAAAATCCTCAATAAAATACTGGCAAGCTGAATCCAGTAGCACATCAAAAAACGTATCCCCCATAATTAAATTGGCTTCATCCCCGGGATGCAAGGCTGGTTCAACACACACAAATCAGTAAACGTAATCCATCACATAAACAGAACCAATGACAAAAACTAAATGATTATCTCAATAGATGCAGAAAAGGCCTTTGATAAAATTCAACAACCCTTCATGTTAAAAACTCTCAATAAACTAGGTATGGATGGAACATATCTCAAAATAATAAGAGCTATTTATGACAAACCCACAGCAAATATCATATTGAATGGGCAAAAGCTGGAAGCATTCCCTTTGAAAACTGGTACAAGACAAGGATGCCCTCTCTCACCACTCCTATTCAACATAGTATTGGAAGTTCTGGCTAGGGCAGTCAGACAAGAGAAAGAAAGGAAGGGTATTCAAATAGGAAGAGAGGAAGTCAAATTGTCTGTGTTTGCAGGTGACATGGTTTTATATTTAGAAACCCTATCATCTCAGCCCAAAAACTCCTTAAGCTGATAAGCAACTTCAGCAAAGTCTCAGGATACAAAATTAATGTGCAAAAATCACAAGCATTCCTTTACACCAACAATAGACAAGCAGAGAGCCAAATCATGAATGAACTCCCATTCACAATCGTTACAAAGAGAATAAAATACCTAGGAATACAGCTAACAAGGCATGTGAAGGACCTCTTCAAGGAGAACTACAAACCACTGCTCAAGGAAATAAGAGAGGATGAACAAATGGGAAAACATTTCATCCTCATGGATAGGAAGAATCAGTATGATGAAAATGGCCATACTGCCCAAAGTAATTTATAGATTCAATGCTATTCCCATCAAACTACCATTGACATTCTTCACAGCATTAGAAAAAAACAACTTTAAATATCATGTGGAATCAAAGGAGATCCCGTATAGCCAAGACAATCCTAAGGAAAAAGAACAAAGCTGGAGGCATCACGCTACCTGACTTTGAACTGTAATACAAGACCACAGTAACAAAAACAGCATGGTACTGGTACCAACAGACATATAGACCAACGGAACAGAACAGAGACCTCAGAAATAACACCACACATTTACAACCATCTGATCTTCAACAAACCAGGCAAAAACAAGCAATGGGGAAAGGATCTCCTATTCGATAAATGGTGCTGGGAAAACTGGCTAGCCATATACAGAAAACTGAAACTGGACCTCTTTCTTACACCTTATACAAAAGTTAACTCAAGATGGATTAAAGACTTAAATGGAAAACCCAAAGCCATAAAAACCCTAGAAGAAAACCTAAGCAATACCATTCAGGACATAGGCATGGGCAAAGACTTCATGACAAAAACACCAAAAGCAATTGCAACAAAAGCCAAAATTGACAAATGGGATCTAATTAAACTAAAGAGCTTTTGCACAGCAAAAGAAACTATAATCAGAGTGAAAAGGCAACCTACAGAATGGGAGAAAATGTTTGCAATCTGCCCATTTGACAAAGGCCTAGCATTCAAAATTTACAAATAACTTAAAGAAACTTACAAGAAAAAAACAACCTCATCAAAAAGTGGGCAAAAGATATGAACAGACACTTCTCAAAAGAAGACATTTGGCCGGGCGCAGTGGCTCACGCCTGTAATCCCAGCATTATGGGAGGCCGAGGTGGGTGGATCACGAGGTCAGGAGATCAAGACCATCCTGGCTAACACGGTGAAACCCCGTCTCTACTAAAAATACAAGAAATTAGCCAGGCGTGGGCACCTGTAGTCCCAGCTACTTGGGAGGCTGAGGCAGGAGAATGGTGTGAACCCGGGAGGCGGAGCTTGCAGTAAGCTGAGATTGTGCCACTGCACTCCAGCCTGGAGAGCAAGACTCTGTCTCTAAATAAATAAATAAATAAATAAGACATTTACACAGCCAAAAACACATGAAAAAAAGCTTAACATCACTGATCATTAGAGAAATGCAAATCAAAACCACGATGAGATACTATCACATGCCTGTCAGAATGGCAATTATTAAAAAGTCAAGAGACAATAGATTCTGGTGAAGCTGTGGAGAAAAGGAACGCTTTTACACTGTTGGTGGAAGTGTAAATTAGTTTAACCATTGTGGAAAACAGTATGGCGATTCCTTAAGGATCTAGAATCAGAAATACCATTTGACCCAGCAATCCCATTACTGTGCATATACCCAAAGGAATATAAATCATTCTACTATAGAGACACATGCACACGTATGTTTATTGCAGCAGTATTTACAATAGCAAAGTCATGGAACCAACCCAAATGCCCATCAATGATAGACTGGATAAAGAAAATGTGGTACATGTACACCATGGAATACTTCACAGTCATAAAAAAAAGGCATGAGATCGTGTCCTTTGCAGGGACATGGATGAAGCTGGAAGCCATCATCCTCAGCAAACTAACACAGGAACAGAAAACCAAACACCGCATGATCTCACTTATAAGTGCGAGTTGAACAATGAGAACACATGGACACAGAGAGGGGATAATCACACACCAGGGCCTGTTAGGGGTGTGGGGCGAGGGGAGGGAACTTAGGGGATGGGTCAACAGGTGCAGCAGACCACCATGGCACACATATACCTATGTAACAAACCTGCACATTCTGCACATGTATCCCAGAACTTAAAATAAATTTTAAAAAGACTATAATACTCTTATAAAACATTACTTCAAAACATACACATCTGTTATTAATATCTACCATCTATTGGGAACTTCTACATAGCTGCATATTCAGAGGGCAGAGTAAGAATCAGTTATTTCTAACAAGGACAGGACTGTCAGGAATGACATCACAAAGAAGCTGACATTTAACTGGAGCCCTGAGTGTGATTTTTTAAATAACTCAATAGCCCGAAAGACATAACATTAATGTGTTAGGAATCACAACCAATGGAAGGTGAACCAGCAGTAAATACTGTACCTCTCTGGAATCAAGAGTCATCGGCATTTATAGAAATTTAGGAGCACATGAAATGCACAGATAATAGGTCTATTTGAAAGCCATTTTCTCTTGCCTTTCCTCATTTCCTCATAATTTTATCTAAAGAAATGTGTGGCCTCTACAAAATGGGCCCTTGTGAACCCCCTCTGAAAGGTCTGTCGGCTCTCCAGACCTTGGGTGGCGACAGTCTTTCCCAATAACAGGAGATTGAAATGAACATGTGTAAACCATCAAACTCCAACCCTGGCATGGGGAGAGAGGATTGTGTTGTGCCAGAAGCAGCTGAAGTTTTACAGATAGGATTCCCAGGTCAGAAGAGCCAAAGATGGAGATTTCAACTTTGCAAAAACTAATATTAGACAAATTCAGCATTTATGGTGCTTTGAACAGAGTAGCCTTGCAAAAATTATTTCTTGAATGAATGAAAACTGGAACTGAAAAGAATTCCAGAAGATAACAATGGAAACTAGAATGACTTGGTCGTATGTCTCTCTTTTTTTTAATTGAAAATTCGTCATGAATATTTAGGCCTATTTTTTTAACATTAAATCTGCTTTAAATTAGAGCTGCTTTTTTTTTTTTTTTTTTTAAATAAAATCTGAGATAAGACTTTTGTAAAAAGGCTGGGGGCTACTCTGGTTAAAGCACAGTAGTACAGCTGGGGTGGGGGAAAGCCGGACCCATCCCTCAGCCCTCCGTCAATGTTCTCTTATCTTTAAAAACTAACCACTCCCAGCATGGCCCACAGAGCAGCAGCAGCAGCAGCATCTCCCGGGAGTGTGTGAAAAATGCAGCATCTCAGACCTCACCCCAGACCTCCTGAGTCAGAGTCTGTATTTTGACAGATCCAGGGTGACTCAAATGAACATAAAAATTTGAAAAGCTCTGTTCTCAAGAACTTTCATCCTTGGAGATGTGCAGTGTTTATAAATGAGAAGATGAACTCTTGGTTGGGGTTATTTTCATTTTAAGATGGAAATAAATTACAGGTAAAATTATTTTCTCAGGAAGTTTATGCAAGGAGAGACCTCATTATCAAGCAGCCTCTGCCTAAGATCTGGGCAGGTCAGGTCACCTGCGTTCCACTCGGGCCCTACTGACCTTCTGAGGAGCCATGACACCTTGCTTCTGGCTGTCATGTGCTGCGCTGGGCTCTGCCTTGAGGGATCCCATACTCTTCCCTGCAATCAGAGCCCACTTGAGAAGCAGCAGTCCCCCACCTTCCTCCAGGCCCACCTTCTTCCAGGTGCAGTGGACAACCACTACAGGACCTTGACAGGATGTGCATGTCCCTGTCACCAGTGAATTTCTCAATGACTCTGGGCCATCTTTGGGACGTAGTTAGGAGGCTGGTGAGGAGGTCATACCTAATAAATCCACTTTAATAGTCCCATCTCCCTACGTGTGTGTATGCTTCTTTTACAGCATCATATTGTGAACCCAGAAGTATCTGAGACAGGTCTCAATCAATTTAGAAAGTTTATTTTGCCAAGGTTAAGGACACACCCATCTGGTAAGGTACTGAGAGGTGAAGCCAACTGGACTTCCTGGGTTGAGTGGGGACTTGGAGAACTTTTCTGTCTTACAAGAGGATTGTAAAATGCACCAATCAGCACTCTGTAGCTAAGATTGTAAAACGCACCAATCAGTGCTCTGTAGCTAGCAAGGGGATTGTAAAATGCACCAATCAGCGCTCTGTAAGAATGCACCAATCAGGGCTCTGTAGCTAGCAAGAGGATTGTAAAATGCACCAATCAGCATTCTATAAAAAACGTATCAATCAGCACTCTGTAGCTATCAAGAAGATTGTAAAATGTACCAGTCAGCACTCTGTAAAATGCACCAATCAGCGCTCTGTAAAATGCACTAATCAGCAGGATTCTAAAAGTAGCCAATCGCAGGGAGGATTGAAAAAAGGGCACCCTGATAGGACAAAAATGGAACCTGGGAAGGGACAAATAAAGGAATAAACACTGGCCACCCCAGCCAGCCATGGCAACCCGCTAGGGTCCCCTTCCACGCTGTGGAAGCTTTGTTCTTTGGCTCTTCACAATAAACCTTGCTACTGCTCACTCTTGGGTTCATGCCATCTTTAAGAGCTGTAACACTCACCACGAAGGTCTGCAGCTTCATTCTTGAAGTCAGCAAGACCACGAACCCACCGGAAGGAACCAACTCTGGACACAGTACCATGACCTAGCCAAGTTGACACATAAACTTAAGCATCACAGCCACTTTGATTGAACTGTTTTTCTACACTTAGTTAAGATGCACTTTGTTCTCCCTTAAGGAAACTTGGAAAACTTGCTAATGATCAAGCAACAGACCATCACTCCAAGTGGTTAATCTGATTCATTTTATATTGGATCTTATTGACTTCAGTTTTCAGACTTGACTCCCAAATTTTCCTTGATGTGCCTTCTTTGGGGTGTGTGTCTGCCATGCAGACTATACTGAACATGAGATGGGTGAGTGTAGAAGCTAAGAGCCTGGACTCAAGAGTCAGACCTGGCTTTGAATCTCAGTTCTGCCATGTACATGATCTGTGATTGCAAGAGGTCATTTAGCCTCTCTGAGCCTGTTTCCAGGCAACGAAATAGGGGAATTATAGCATCTTAAAGATGCTGTGAAAAGTTGATAGCATTACACATATTACTTATATTTATTGAACACCTACTCTGAGCCAAGCACTGTGGGAGGCCCTGGCCAAGGAGTGGCAAAACAAGAGGTCTATGCGTGGGAGCCAACGGCCAGCAGCAGAGCTTACATGTAAAACACTTGGCACAATCCCAGACTCATGGTTAGTTGTGGCTGTTATTATTTACTGCTGAGAGTCATTGATTACCAATGAAGTCCTCCTTTGAACAGGCAAAAAACCCTTGTACACTTCCAGAGGAGAGCAAAGAAGTGAAGAAATATTGTCAGCATGCACAGTCCATAGTCATTCAGACCCGACTATGGCCCCTCATGGCTCACAGAGAAACAAAGGTATTGTCCATTCCAGCAGATAAGCTTTAATTTGATGAAAAGGGGAATGCAGTAATTCTTGGGGAGGAGTAACCTATCATTAGCATCTGTTGTGTTCCTTCTCTTATGTAATTGGGATTTGGGGCATCAAAACCAGGACCCACAATCTGAACATATTCGGTAGAACAATGGGCAGGGGCTGTATGAAATTGGTTTTACCCAGTGAATCCATGATTTGTTGCCACTAAAGGAACAGGCTGCACTTCCAGCTCATCTTGAAAAAACTGCCAAATTCTTTTGCAGTGTCACTCCCCCAGCATGAACTTTCTACCTTTTATGTCTTGCCTGTGTTATACACCTCAACCACCCCATATCCTCAGAGATGCCCAAGGCCAAATCCCCAGAACCTGTGAATATGTTACTTACATGGCAAAAAGGAATTAAGCATGCAGGTGAGGTTGATGTGGCTGATCAGCAAATGGGGCAGTTGGTCCCATGTAATTATCCAGGTGATCACAGTGTAATCACAAGCATCCTTAAGTATATTCTTATACTTAAGATATAAGTATCTTATAAGAGGGAGCCAGAAGCGTCAGGACCAAAACCTTGGCATTGTAGGAAGACTCAACTGGCCATTCTGACTTTAAAGATGGGGGAAGAGGGATGGGGTCATGTGCCAAGGAATGTGAGTGGCCTTGAAAAGTTGGAAAAGGCAGGGAAATGCATTCTCTCCTAGAGTCCTCGGAAACAGTAACTATTACACTTTCTTGTGTATCCTGCTATACATGTGCATGTATACGTATATAAAATGTGTGGATAAAGCTGACTTTTCAACAGATAAATAGAATTTAGAAGATAATGAAATGACATCCTTAATGCTAAAAGCAAATGACTATCAGCCTAGAATCCAATACCCAGTGCGAATATCCTTCAAAATAAAGACAAATGTTGTTATTTACTAGCTAGGTAACCTTCAAAGATCTGTGGCAATCTCAGTTTTCTTACTTGTAAAGTGGAGATGGCCAATTCTACTTCCTTGGACTGTTGTAAATATTTAGTGAAAAAATTATATAGAATATTAAATACAGTGCTTGGCACAAGTGATTGTTAAAAAATGATACTATATTAATTAACATTTTCCCAATTAATAAATTAAAAACAAAGTAATGATGTTTCAGACAAAAGCCAAAATAATTTGTCACAAGCATACCAATTCAAAAAGGAATACTGAAGAAATTTACCATGAATGAGGAAAATTATCCTGAAGGGAGCATAATGATGTGGGAGGAATAAGAAACAATAGAATAAATAAGAGGATAAAACTGTTTAAAACAATAACAATCATGATGTTTGTATTTGTCTCTGGCTGACATAACAAAGTACCACAGACTGGAGGGCTTAAACAACAGAAATCTATCTCACAGTTCTGGAAGCTGGAAGTCCAAGGTGTGGGTAGGGGTGGTTTTTCCTGAGGCCCCTCTCCTTGGTTTGCAGATGCTGTCTTCTCCCTGTGTTTTCACATGGTCTTCTCTGTGTGTGTGTCCGTGTCCTCATCTCCTCTCCTTAGAAGCATACCAGTCATATAGGATTAGGGCCCAACCTAATGACCCATTTTTCCTTTACTACCTCTTTAAAGGCCATATCTCTAAATATAGTCATATTCTGAGATGTTGGGGGTTAGGACTCCAACATGTAAATTATTAGGGTGAGGGACACAGTTCAGTCTATAATAATGCCTTCGGGGGTTTAAAATATATACCAAATTAAGATATATAACTAAATAGTATAAAAGTTGGGAAAAGGATAAAAGGAGTTAAAATGTTGTGAAGTTCTAGAGTTGTTCAGGAAGATTATGATATATAGAAGACTGATAATAAGATACAGATGGATGGTATACTCTCTAGGCCAATCACAAAGGGAATGATACAGAAGGAAATAGAAATCATAAAAACATTAATTCAAAAGAAGCCAAGAAAGGAGAAGAAAAAGGAAATTTTAAAACATAGCAAATAGGAAACAAAGGGTAAATGATAAATTTAGATTTAAATATATTTGAAATCACATTAAATGTAAATTAAATAAATATTCCAATTAAAACACAATGATCATCAGATTGGATTTTTTAATAATAGCGACACTAAGCTGCTTACAAAAGAGACATCCTAATATATGGTTAGGTGTAAGAATCTGGAAAGTGTGAAAGTAAAATAATAGAAAACGATATACCCTTCAAATATCAACCAAATGAAAGTAAGTACAGCTATGCAATTATCTGACAAGTTGATCTTAATTGAGAAAGCATTACTAAAAATAAAGAGATATATTTAATAATGATAAAAGGATCCATCTATTAGAAAGTCACAATGATTCTAAATTTGAATATACTTCAAAATATAGTTTTAAATCTGTAAATCAAAAATTGAAAGAATTAAAAGAGGAAATATATAAATCTATAATCATAGTTAATTTAACATACATCTCAGTAACTAATAGAACGAGGAAGCCTAACATCAATAATTATATAAAGAACTTGAAGAACATGATTAATAAGCTGTTGGCATAGTGACATATGTAGAATACTAAATTCAACAACCACGGTATATATTATTTTCAAGTGCACTTGGAACAAACACCAAAACTGACCTGAGCCACAAAGTGAGTCTCTCAAAATTTTAGAGGATTGAAATAATAGAGAATGCATTCTCTGACCAGGATAGAATTAAAACATTTTTAAAAAGCAGAGATAGCTAGAAAATCACCAAGATTCTTGGCCGGGCACGGTGGCTCACTCCTGTAATCCCAGTACTTTGGGAGGCCGAGGCAGGTTCATCACGAGGTCAGGAGATCGAGACCACGTTGAAACCCTGTCTCTATAAAAATATAAAAAATTAGCTGGGTGTGGTGGCGGGCGCCTGTGGTCCCACCTATTTGGGAGGCTGAGGCAGAAGAATGGCATGAACCCAGGAGGCGGAGCTTGCAGTGAGCAGGGGTCGTGCCACTGCACTTCAGCCTGGGCAACAGAGCAAGACTCCGTCTCAAAAAAATAAATAAAAAACAAGAAGAAAGAAAATCACCAAGATTCCACATACAGTGAAGAATACATTCTAAAGAATCTATAGATCAAAGAGAAAAGCACCATATAACTTAGAAAATATTTTGAACTGATTAATGAAAATAGAACATGTCTAAATATATGGGGTATAGCTAAAGCCATAATCAGAAGGATAAAGTGTTAAATGCATGTGTTAGAGAAGAAAGGTTGAAAAAGAATAATCTAAATGTTGATCTAGAAAAGTTAGAAAAAGAATAGCAAATGAAACCAAAATACAGTACAAGGAAGGAAATAATTATGATAAGAGCAGAAATCCATGAAATAGAAAGCAAGCATACAGCAAAGAAACACAACAAAAGGAAAAATTGTTTGTTTGAAAAAAAGTTAATAAAATGGATAATCATTGGCAAAATGAGCTAGAAAGAAGACAATACATAAATTATCAATATTATGAAGAAAAGGGGATGTTATAAAAATGTCATACCAATAAATTTCAAAATATAAATAAAATAGGCAAATTCCTGGTAAAGCATTACTTGCCAAAACTAAGATAAGATGCAGTAGAAAATCTGAATTGTCATCCATGTATGAAAGAAAGTGAGACTGTAATTTAATTCTTTCCCACAAGTAAAATTCTATGCCCAAATTCTTCACTAATGAAATCCTTCTAAACATTTAAGAAGGAGTGACACTGATCTCACACAAACTCACCCAGGGATAGAAAAAGGGAACACTTTCCACTTCATTTTATGAAGCCAGTTAACCTTGATACCAAAATCAGCAAAGAAAGAAAACTTATAAGCCAGTCTCCCTAATAACGTAGTGTAAAAATACTAAATAAAGCATTAACAAACCAAATTGAGGACCTAATCAAAAGTATAATAAAACAAGTCCAAATTGGATTTATTCTAGGATGCAAAGTTGATTTAATGTTCAAAAAATTAGTCAATGTAATTTGCCACACTAAGAAAATAAAAGGACAATCAACTAAATAGATGCCAAAAAAGCACCTGATAAAATTCAACACCCATTCACGATAAAAGAAAAAAAAAAATTCTGAGTGTGGGATTAGAAGGGAACATTCTTTAACTGATAGAGTAGCTTGGAAGAGAAAGAACTCTAAAATAAACATCACACCTAATGGGAAATATTGAAAGATTTTACCCAAATAAAGAATGAAACAAAGATACTCAGTCACCACTTCTATTCAACATTATAATAGGCAGTAGTTGCAATAAGGAAAAAAAAAAAAAAAAAGCTATCAAAATTAGAAATAATGGGAAATGAAATTGTAATTATTTTTAAATAACATGATTGTGTACATAGAAAATCCATTTAAAAATTAACAGAAAATGCATTAGCATTAATAAGTGAATTCCACAAGGTGATAGATATAAGGTCAATATACAAAGTTTAATTATATTGTTATATTTCAGCAACAAAAGAACACTGAAATTTAAATGATACAATTAAAGTAGAAGCTACTGGAGCAAGTAAGTAACTAATGGGCAGGCAAACTTAAGTGGTAATTGACTGATTTATGGAAGCTAAGTGTGGACTAGCTTGAAATTCAAAGACTCTTTTGGGTTCAGGCTGGCAGGAGGGGTGGTGGGAGAGTTCATAATTTCATGAGTTTTACCTCCTAGAGACAACAAAGTTACCAAAGTGAAGATCAAAGAAAAATCACTTCCTTCTTCCAGCAAGGGGAGAGGAAAAGCAACCATTTTTAAATATACCCAGGGAGATCTGTTCTCTTTAACAAAGGCCTTTTCTCAGAGGAAACTACTTTACCAAAACCTGAAGCCTTGAAAGAAGGAAGTACCCAGCTCTATCTCCCTCTAACCTTCTTATCTCACCTACACAAGGGGAAAGCTGAGAAGCACTTGTGAGGGTCACAGCCCAGGGGCACAGGCTTACTAAATGACTAAGTCCTAATCATGGGACTATAAAGATTTTTCCCTCTCCTCATACATTACCACCACATTAACAGGCTCCTGTGTGATAAACAAGATTACAGCAGAAAGAACGATAAAGCTAAGGCTCAATTTAAGAAGGAGTCTCTAGGAAAATCCCAAGACAACAAAGAACACAAAAACAAAAAGGCTAGAGGAAATGGAAGGCCCTAGCACCTCCAGCTACAGCAGCCGTTAAACACAGCTTAACTTCTAGCCATATAAACATAAACGCTCATAAACTAAAGGCCTGTTTAGTTTCTATTACTCAATAAATCATTTCTGGCTTTGAAAACAAAATTATAAACCATACTAAAAGGCAAAACACCAAAACCAAAACAAACAAAATTGTCTGAAGAGACAAAGCAAGCATCAGAACGTGGCTCAAATATGACACTGATTTTGGAATTATTAGACCAGGAATTTAAAAACCCTATTAAATGTGCTAAGGGCTTTAATGAAAAAAAAAGTGGACAACATGCAAGAACAGATGGGCAATATAAACAGGGAGAAAAATTCTACAAAAGAATCAGAATAAAACATTAGAAAATAAAAGCACTGTAACGAAAGTGAAGAATGCCTTTGGTGTGCTCATTAGTATGCTGGACACTGGCAAGGAAAGAATCAATAAGCTTTAAGATATGTTAATAGAAACTTCCCAAACTGATATGTAAACAGAAAAAAATAAGGGGGAAAAAAGGAACAGAATATTCAAAAGCTGTGGGTCAATTACAAAGGGTGTTAAGATACACATAGTAAGTGGCCAGATATGGTGACTTATTCCTGTAATCCTAGCACTTTAGGAAGCATAGGGGGATACTGTTTGAGCCCAGATGTTCAGGAGCAGCCTGGGCAACATAGTCAGACACCATCTCTACAAAAAATACAAAATTTAGCCAGGCATGGTGGTGTTTGTCTGTAGCCCCAGATACTCAGAAGGCTGAGGTGGGAGGAACTTCTGAGCCCAGGGAGGTAGTGGCTGCAATGAACTGTGATCATGCCACTGCACACCAATCTGGGTGACAGAGTGAGACCCTGTCTCAGGGAAAAAAAAATAAATAAATAAGAATATCAGAAGAAGAATGAACAGAAGAAATATTTGGATTAATAATGAGAATTTCCAAAAATCAGTGCCAGAAAGCAAACCACAGATTAAAAGGGCAGAGAACACAATGAGGATGTTTTTAAAAATCTAATTATAGCATATTCAAATTGCAGAAAACCAAACACAGAGAATATCTTGAAAGAAACCAGAGGAAAAAAACACCTTACTTACATAGGAGCAAAGATAAGAAGTATACCAGAATTCTCTTGAGAAATTATTCAAGCAAGAAAAAAAGTAGAGTGAAGTATTTAAAGTGTTGAAAGAAAAAAACCACCAACCTACAATTATGTATCCAGCAAAATTATTCTTCTGTATTTGTCCATTGTTGCACTGCTGATAAAGACACACCCAAGACTGGGCAATTTATACAAGGAAGAGGTTTAGCGGGACTTACAGTTCCACGTGGCTGGGGAAGCCTCACAATCATAGTGGAAGACAATAAAGAGCAAGTCACATCTTACATGGGTGGCAGCAGGCAAAGAGAGAGAACTTGTGCAGGAACTCCACTTTTTAAAACCATCAGATCCCATGAGACTTATTCATTATCCCCAGAACAGCACAGGAAAGACTTGCCCCCATGATTCAGTTACCTCCCATTGGGTCCCTCCCACAGCACATGGAAATTCAAGATGAGATTTGGGTGGGGACACAGCCAAACTGTATCACCTTCAAAAGCAAAGGAGAAATACTTTCTCAAGTAAAAACTGAGAGAATTTTTTACTGGTAGATCTGCCTTGCAAAAAATTATTTTTAAAAAGTTCTTAGAGAAAAGGAAAGTATATAGGTTAGAAACTCAGAAATATGTAAAGAATGAAAAAGTGTCAGAGAATGAATAAATAAAAATAAAAATCTTTATTTTATTCATAATTTTTAACTGTCTGCTCAAAACAATAATAGCAACAATGTGTTCGATGATTATAGCATGTGGATAAATAAAATAATTGGCAGCAGTGTACTAGGGGATGAATCAGGAATACTTTACCTGCACTACCCATTAAGCAGTATGATGTCATTTGAAGGTGGACTTAGATTAGTTGTAAATGTATTAATGTATTGCAGACTCTAGAGAAACCACTAAATTTTTTTTTAAAGAAGTATAATTGATATGCTGAGAGAATAGAACATTGAATTATGTAAAATCCTCAATTAAGACCAAAGAAGGCAGAAAAAGAGGGGAAGATAAAAAACAGCTACAATAAATAGAAAAGTTACAAATATGGTAGATATTAATTCAACTGTATCAATTATCATTTTAAGTGGAAATGATTCAAAAACACCTTCTAAGAGACAGAGATTGTCAGAGCAGATCAAAGAACAGAAACTAACTATATGTTGTCTACAAGAAATACACTTTGAATGTAAATCCACAGATAGATTACAAATAAAAGAATGTCAAAAAGCACACCATGCTAACCCTTATCTAAAGACAGGAAGAGTAGCTACGTTAATGTCAGACAAATCAGACTACAGTTTAAGGAAAACTATTAGAGATAAAAAGCAGCATTAGAAAAGGATAAACTGGTCAATTTTCCAAGAAGACATAATTCTTAAAGTATATGGGCCTAAGAACAGAGCATCAAAATACGTGAGGCAAAAACAGAACTGCAAAGAGAAATAGACAAATTCACTATTATACTTGGAGACTTAAACACTCCTCTATCAGTAATTGACAGACATGGCAAGCATAAAGTAGTAAGAATTTAGTTAACTACATATCATTATCAGTCAACTAGTTCTAACTGACATGTATAGGACAGTTGTTGACTTCATACAAGAAGAGCATAATACACATTCTTCTTAAGCTCACATGGAACACTTAACAAAATATACCACATGCTGAGCCATAAGACACACCTTAACAAATTTAAAAGAATAAAAATCATGTAAAGTATTCTTTCACATCACAATGACATTAAATAGAAATCAATAACAGAAAAACAGAAGGAAAATAACAAATTATTTAGAAATTATACCACACACTTATAAATAATGCATGGGCCAAACAATGAGTCTCAAGATAAATTTAAAACTATTTTGAATTAAATGAAAACAAAAATACAACTCAGTATTTGTGGGATTCAGTGACTGAAAGCAGTGTTATTTACTTCAGTTTCTATTACTCAATAAATGATTTCTGGCTTTGAAAATAAAATTACATATACAGCACTGAATGCATATGGTAGAAAAGAAGAATAATCTAAAATCAGGATCTAAGCTTTCAACAAAGGAAACTAAAGAAAAAGAACAGTATAAGCCTAAAGCAAGCAGAAAATAGAAGTAACAAAAATTAGAGCAGAAATGAATGAAATTGAAAACAGGAAATCAATAGAGAAAATTAATCAAACCAAAGCTGGTTTTTTTGAAAGATTAATAAAATTCATAAACCTGTAGCCAGTCTAGCCAAGGAAAGAGAGAAGACATAAATTACTCATATCAGAAATGAAAGAGGGATCATCACTATTGATTCCATGGACATTAAAAGGATAATAAAAAAAAATACTATGAACAACTTCATGCCAACAAATTTAATGACTCAGATACATTGGACCACTCCCTTGAAAGGCCCAATCTACCAAACTCACACGTGGAAAAAACAGATAATCTGAAGATCCCTATGTTAAATAAAGAAAATAAATAAATAAATAATAACCTTCCGGAAAAGAAAGTGTCCAGCCCAGGCAATTTCACTGGGGAATTCTACCAAACATTAAAGAAAGAAATGATGCCAATTTTTCATAATCTCTTTCAGAAGATAAAAGCAGAAGAAATACTTTCTAACTCATTCTATGAGGCCAGCATTATCTTAATACCAGAATAGGTATAAGGACATCATATAAGGACATTACAAGAAAGAAAAACTATGGACCAGTATCTCTCATGAACATAGATGCAAAAATCTTCAAAATATTAACAAATAGCATCTAACAATGTATAAAAGGAATTATACACCACAACCAAGTGGGATTTATTCCAGTTATATAAGTCTGGTTCAATATTGGAAAGTCAAATAATATAATTTATCATATTGGTAGGCTAAAGAAGAAAAATCATATGATCATATCAATAGATGCAGAAGAAGCATTTGACAAAACTCAACAGACATTCATATTAAAAATTCTCAGCACTCTAGGAATAGATGGGACTTCCTCAATTTGATAAAGAACATCTACAAAAGCCTACAGCTAACATACTTAATGGTGAGGAACTGGATGCTTTCCTCCCAAAATCAGAAAACAGGGGAAGGATGTCCCCCTCACCACTTCTATTCAACATTGTACTTAGAGTCCTAGCTAATGTAATAAGACAAGAAAAGGGAAAGAAGGCCGGGCACGGTGGCTCACGCCTGTAATCCCAGCACTTTGGGAGGCTGAGGCAGGTGCATCAAAAGGTCAGGAGATCGAGACCAAACTGGCTAAAACAGTGAAACCCCATCTCTACTAAAAATACAAAAAATTAGCCAGGCTTGGTGGCTTGTGCCTATAGTCCCAGCTACTCAGGAGGCTGAGGCAAGAGAATCACTTGACTCTGGGAGGCAGAGGTTGCAGTGAGCCAAGATCGTGGCACCGCACTCCAGCCTGGACAACAGAGCGAGACTCCATCTCAAAATTAAAAAAAAAAAAAAAAAAAAAGGAAAGAAAAAAAAGACAAGAAAAGGGAAAGAAAAAAAGCAATATTGGGATTGGGAAGGAAGAACTTAGTTCACAAATGACATGAATGCTAATGTGGAAAATTTCAAAGAATTGACCAAAAAAAAAAAAAAAAAACCCCACAAACCACCTGAAACCAATAAATGAGCAAGCAAGGTTGCAGAAAACAAGATTAATACACAAAAGTCAGTTGGGTTTCTACATACTCCAATGAACAATTGGAATTTGAAACACAATACTATTTACATACCAAAAAAAACTTTACACATAAATATAATAAAATATTTAAAAGATCTATATGAAAAAAAGTACAAACCTCTGGTGAAAGAAATCAAAGAATATCTAAATAGAGAGATCTTCCATGTTCATGAATAGGGAGACTCAATATTGTTTAGATGCCAAATCTTTCCAACTCTATCTATAAATTCAACATAATTCAAATCAAAATCTCACAAGTTATTCTATGGATACTGAAAAAATAATTTCAATGTTTATATGGAAAGACAAAAGGCTCAGACTAACCAATACGCTCCCCAACTTTAAACTTACTGTAAAGCCACAGTAATGAAGATAAGATGATACTGGTAAAATAATCAACAAATTGATCAGTGGAACAGAGTTAAGTGCCCAGAAATAGACGCTCACAAATATAGTCAACTGAAAAAGGGGCAAAGGCAACTGAATGGAGAAAGAACAGTCCTTTTGATAATAATACGGGGGTAACTAGACACCCATATCTTAAAAATGGGAGATAATACCTAAACTAAAATCTTCCCAAAGTTTTAATTACTGGTGTTAAACTTCTTGGAGCGCAATTATTTATTTATTTATTTATTTAGAGACGAAGTCTTACTCTGTAGCCCAGGCTGGAGTGCAGTGGTGCGATCTTGGCTCACTGCAACCTCCGCCTCCCAGGTTCAAGCGATTCTCATGCCTCAGCCTCCCAAGTAGCTGGGATTACAGGCCTGCGCCACCACACCCGACTAATTTTTTTGTATTTTTAGTAGAAACGGGGTTTCACTGTGTTGGCCAGGCTGGTCTCGAACTCCTGACTTCAAGTGATCTGCCCGCCTCGGCCTCCCAAAGTACTGGGATTACAGGCGTGAGCCACCGTGCCCAGCCAAGGAGAGCAATTTTAGGAGGAAGGTATGGGGAGTAACCACTGGGCCCCAGGAGTTGTTTTGTTCTGTTTGTGTGTGGTTGTGGGTGGGGCAGCTGGGAAGGAAATGTCAGTGGAAAAAGGAATGCAGAAATGGATTTTTCTTTGCACCCCATCCTACCAAGCTGCACCTCTGCCTTATCCCTTTCTTCTGATAGCATCTTTTATGACTCCATTTATTCCAGAAAGCCTCACCCCGCAAAGCTCTTCCTGATATCCTTTCCACCTAGGCAAGCAGGTAAGGTACTGCCCCGCACCCACGACCCTGGAATCCTGTTATTGTCCCGACTCAGTCTGACCCGTGGCTGGCTGTGATGCGCTGGGATTCCTCAAGACCCCTTTCTGGGTTGGGTGCAAACCAAGGGTGACTGACTCATGCTAAGGAGCCTGCACTGCCTTCTCAGAGCACAGCTCTGCCCTCCAGGACTTCACTCTGCTTCTGTTTGGGCAGGGTCTGCCCACTGCTCCTTATCTTGGTGCCACAGTAGATCTTTGGTATTCAGGTTAATTAATCTCACCCAAGCGTGCCCTTTGCTTCAGAGAAGTATTTCTCACACTTGGCTTTAACAGAACATCAGGTCCAGGTGCAAAAGGCAACACAAATGAGGTCTATTTATCCACCCACAAAACTGCCTTTCCCTCCAGAAACAGGCTGACAGAGATATCGCCTACTGTCATTCTGATTCCTTCAGTCCCAAGGTCATGAATAGTAAAATAGGCAAACCAGCCACCCTTGCCTGCCATTGGTCAATAATCTATTACCAAGTAAAATCTTACCTGGAGCCTTCCTATCAACCCCACCTGAACAAAGCGCTGCTCTAAACCTTAATTAAACCCACATTGTTCTGGGTGGTGTCTCTCCAGGCAAAGCCGTCCTTTGAAATTCAGATTCCTTGCACAAATGCATTCTGGCATGACGCTCCCTGTTGCGAGTTTGCTAGTCTAGCTATCTGAGAATAAATTATGCATTTGTCCAGGCTACAGAAAGCTACTGGAAAGTGGATTTTCCATTTAGCATTTGTATCACTCAACTCTCTTTACACTGGAAATGGACTCCAATCCACTATTTGCATTTATAGATCACAGGGCTAAAACAAAGTTAGTTTTCTCCTCGCAAAGAAAAAAAAAATTCCCTGTAATATTTTAGCTGATGTGACAAATGAGAGAAACCTGGGGACATGCTGAAGTTTGAAGCTGGTGCTCACTTTCATCATTGCCTGAGTTTTCCCAAGCAGCTTTTGAAGAGTGAGGAACTAAGTTTTCTTAGAAGAGTAAATGTCTCACAGAGGGGTCACCCTTATACCTTGGATGTTGAAACTTTGTACTTCTGGAACTAAAGCAGTTACCACGGTGCTGGGCATTGGGGGTAGGGCTAAGGCGTTCTAACCTCAGGAGGGCTAACAGTTCGGGGACACTCTTTTTATCTTTGGCGACCCCATTTTTTTCAAGCCCAAAATGAGGCCAGGTGATCTGGCAAGTTTTGTGTTTCTAACATTGTGACAAACCCCAGAATGATATTGCATCACGGAAAAAACTCCTAGGCCCAGGCAACTGGGACCCCTGGGCTAGGCCCCACACTTTGGGGGGCCCATCTGGCCTTTTCCAGCCACGTCTACGGCCATACCACCCTGAACGCCCCCGATCTCGTCTGATCTCGGAAGCTAAGCAGGGTCGGGCCTGGTTAGTACTTGGATGGGAGACCGCCTGGGAATACCGGGTGCTGTAGGCTTACTTTGTGTCTGACCCATGTTTCCCTGAGACAAAACACCAAGCTCACACCACACTCACACCACAAAACAAAGAACGGGTAAAAAAGGCACACACACACTTTTTCAGTTTACACCAAACCAGAATCAAAACCAAAATCAGAGTATCCAGAAATCCAAGCCAGGTCAAAACCAAAACCAAAGTATCAAGCAATTCAAGTCAAGTCAAAAACAAAAACCAAAGTGCCAGTACAGGCACGCCGTGGGTGATCAGGCCACGCTTCCACTCAAATGGAGTGGGCAAGTTCCAAAGACCAGTCTTACCAAGTTTCAGATGTCCGGACTCCAAGTGCCAGTTCCTTCCCGGTGTTCAGCCACTGCATTGATCCTCCACCGGGGCCTGCCACGCGCTGCTCTGACGAGGTGTCCAACCGGGGCAACTGCCTACCCCGGAGCGCTCTCAGGATCCGCGTCACTCAAGCTGGCCAAATAACTCTTCGGCCAGTTCTCCCTTGCACGGCAGCAGCACAGTGAGAATGTTCATCACAGAATTTATTCAGTCTCAGGGCGGTGTTTCTCCAGGTGTGGACTTCAGAATACCACCAGGTCAGAACCACCTGGGACCGTCTCCAGACCTACTGAGTTAGAATCCCTAGTCAGTGGCTCGCAGACCAGGGGCTGCAGACCAGCAGCATGAGCATCACCTGGGAACGTGTTAGGAACAGGCTCTAATTCTCAGGCCCCACCCCAGACCTTTTGAATCAGAAATTCTGGGTATGGCACCTGGAAACGTGCTTCACCAGCCTCCAGGGGATTCTGATGCAGAGCAGTGGCCAGGGGTCAGCCCCAGCAATTTCAAAGAGCTCCCCAGGTGCTTCTGACACATGGGTAAACTGAAAAAAAGGAGAAATCAGGGGGGAAACAAACAGAAAGTCCCAGGAGTCAACAGAATCTGACTTGGGATTTATGAGACATGCTCTGGGTCCACAGCCCCCTTCAGGGTCTTGGCCCTGACCTCGTCTCGTTCTTCCCTACCTTCACACGTGAGATGCTACTGTTAACACTCTAATAACAATCGATGCTTTTAAAGCTGCGACCCTTTAGGTCCACCCCAGGAAAGACCAATCCCTTGCTTATACCTAACTGTGGCCTGCCCTCTTTGTTCTGTTACTTTCTGATTATAAGTCTCTTCCCTGATAGATGATTCTGGAGAGAAAACAGTATTGGAGGCTGTTGATTGGAAAAGTAGCTCCTAATACCATCTTTGCATGAGCTCTCTGGAATAGCCAAATGTTCTAGATTCTGTATTTGATATTTTGGCATCTTGGAGCCTGGCTGATGGTAGAGACACAGCCCCTCCCAGAGTTAGCCAGTTCCCACAGACAGTACAGGATTCACCTACAAACACATCTTTCACATTCAAGCCAACCAATCCAGAGCCCACACCTCCAACCACCTCCTTTATTGGGCTCTCACACTCAAGGCCACCAGTTACCAGTCCCAGTCACTCCAGGGCCAGGTACCAGACAACTAAGGCAATTCTATGGCCCAGAGCCTGCTGTAATTTTCCAAGCCAGCCAATCCTAAGCCTGCCTCACCTGTTCCTTCTCACAATAAAGCCTTCTGCCCATAGCTTCCCCCTTTCCCTCTGCCTCCTGACTGACCTGATGCTTCCCTGTGTGGCCCAGTGTACGCCCTCCTCCTGGGAACTGTGAGTAATAAACTATCTCTTCAATGGCCATCATCTCCTGGTCTGTTGGCCTCACCATACCTGAATAATAATAAAACCTACATTTTCAAGCACCTCTATCTTCCCTTAGGAAGGAAGTGGATATCCCTGGAGACATTAAGCTTTGGGCTGATCCTTAAGACATCTGGCATAGAGGTGTGGGAAGGTCTGTGCCACCAACCATGTTGCAAGCAGACTAGGATTGCAACAACTGCCTTCTTCAGAAGCACAGCTCCCCCTCTCCCAGGAATTTTCCTGACAGATTCTTCCCTTTGTCTCTACAGAAGAAAAGGGAGTGAAGGGGCAGCAACTGAGTGAGCACAGGTGGGGAGATGGGTAGGAGATCTGATGCCAGGGTCAGTCTGCCTCATGCAGGCCCACTCCTCCACTAACTGGCTGAGAGATCCTGGGCAGCACCTCCCAGAGTAAGCCAACGCCTAGAGGCATACAGGACTCACCTGCAAACACACTCTACTTACTTACATCTGCTTGTGTCACTGTTTTCTTAACTGCAAAATGGGGATTTAACCCCACCCGCTTCATGTAAGGAATAAAAGAGATAACATACATAGGGCTCCAGGACTGGGTGCAGCCCATGGAGGCACTTCATGAGTGGTTAGCTGTGAGTGAGGTGCACATTAGCCCTGTCCCAGCAATCCCCTAGTCCTCGTGTCACCACCACCAGGAAGCCTTTAACTTTAGAGACTAAGAAACTGCAGTATCACATATTGACATGTAAAACTATGCTGTCACTGATGCAACGGTTTGATGGATTAATTTGGGGATGTAGAGGGCCACCTGAGATGGCCCCTTGAATGGAAGATGTTCCATTCTCTGCTTCCCCATCCTTTGAATGCCACTTTTTTTCTCAACAGCAGTGGTTTTCAAAGTGTGGTCTCTGGACCAGCAGCATCAGCATCACCCTAGGCCTTGTTAGAAATGCAAATTCTTGGGCCTACTAAACCAGACACTCTGGGTTTGGGGTCCAGTAACCCATACCCTAACAAGCCCTACAGAAGATTCTGATGCATGCTTGCTATGGACTGAATATTTGTATCTCTCCAAAATTCCTGTGTTTAAGTCCTAATCCCCAATGTGAGGTATTACGAGGTGGGGCCTTTGGGAGGCTCTGCCTTCATGAATGGGATTTGCCCACATAAAAGAGGCCCAAGAGAGCTCCCTTGCCTCTTCCACCATGTGAGGATGCAGCAAGCTGTGCGTCTATGACCCAGGGAACAGGCTCTCACCAGACATCAAATGTGCCAGTGCCTTGCTCTTGGACTTTCCAGCCTCCAGAACTGTAAGTAATAAATTTCTGTAGTTTTTAAGCCACCCAGTCAATGGCAATTTTTTGTTATAGCAGCCTGAACAGAGTAAGACAACACTCAAGTTTGAGAACTACTGCTTTATCACAGTGGAACCACTCATGCAGTGCTGGATCTAGAGCTAGCTAGGGAATAGGGCAACTTCCTGAGGGGTTTGGAATCCAATTTCTAATCAATGGAGCATATAATAAATAAAGACAATATGGCCATATCTGAAACCTGCTGTCCCTAGGCCCACACAATTTATATCATCCCTGCGGGTGATGAAAAACGTTCCACCTACCATGTCTTCAGCTTGTCCACTGGCCGCTTCTTCAGAGGGCTCCCTCGCCTGCCAAGGCCTGATTGATGCTGTCACAGCACCTGAAAAAGGGTTTAAGGCAGGGAGATAGGGATGAGAGTTTGCTTAAGATAGGGCTATTTGTCCCTGGTGGGTCAGCATTCCTTATCAGAGACTGCTTCAAACAACATTGCTGATAATAACATATCCCCTCAAAGGCACCAAGAGAGTCTGTCCATCTTAGTTTGTGCTGTCCATAACAAAGTATTATAGAGTGGGTGGCTTATAAACAACAGAAATTTATTTCTCACGGTTCTGAAGACTAGGAATCCAAGATCAGAGGGCCGGCATAATCATGTTCTGGTGGGGGCCCTCTTCTGTGTTGCAGACTGCCGACTTCCCATTGTATCTTCACAAGGTGGAAAGAGGACCAGAGAGCTCTCTCTTTCATAAGGGCACCAATCCCATTCATGAGGACTCCACCCTCATGACCGAATCACCTCCACAAAGGCCCCATCTCCAAATACCAACACATTGGGGATTAGAATTCAACATAAGAACGGGGCAAGGAGTGGATACCAACATTCAGTCCACAGCACTCACCATCTCTCAGAAGGTGGAAGGAGATGTCCGTGTCTAAAATCTGAATTGCTCTTGGCTTGTTTAGTACTGTCATGTAAAGTAAAGCACACAAAATCCACATAAACTGCTGAGAAAGAGATCTATTTGGAATGCAAATGGAGCCTGTCCTTAGGTCTACACAGGTAAACATGGAAGATACCTGGGAGAATTTAGCTCTGAAGTTGAGGGTGTAACTACAGTTGCATTTCTGGGACATCGCATCGCAGGAAAACTCTTTTCCCATTGATTGAGACCTCCACTCTCAGCCCCTCTATTTCCTGCCTTCTTGCACCCTTGCCTACCCCTCCTGCCCTAGCTCAGACATGGTCCATCAATTTCAGCCATATTTGCCAGTATCCCCTACCCCAGTTCTCCTCAAACTTGGACCCCAGACCAGTTAAAGCTGAATGTCTGTATTGGGATTGAAGCCTCAGTATATCTTTTAAGTTCCCCAGGTGATTCCCATATGCAGCCAAGTTGGAGGACCAGGGTTCTACTCTGCGCTTCCTTCACACCTGCCACAGACACCAACTCTCCAATAATTGCAGTGTCTGCCTCCTCAACACCTGTCCCTGGCCACAGAGCCTGGTGGGGACAACCACATCCTCTCATGCTCACCTCCTTCAGTTCTTCCTGGGCCTGCCAAACTCTAGTGTGCAGTTGGCCATCACTCCCCCATTTTCCATACTGGTCATTTCCAAACTTCTCCATCCTCCTCAAAAGCTTCTGTCTTCTGCTCAGCATACCCTTCCTCAGGGAATTCACCTAACTCCTGCCACCCCACTTATGGATTTACTGCCCCATTCTTTCTGTCACCCTCTCATCACAGTGAAAGGCTGATTCCAAGTTCTGCCCAAGACTAACCCCCTTTCTAGGTTCTTTTCTTTTTTTTTTCTTTCTTTTCTTTTTTTTTTTTTTTCAGATGGAGTCTCGCTCTGTTACCCAGGCTGGAGTGCATTGGTGCAATCCCGGCTCACTGCAACCTCTGCCTCCCAGGTTCAAACGATTCTCCTGCCTCAGCCTCCCAAGTAGCTGGGATTACAGGCACCTGCCACTACGCCCAGCTAATTTTTGTATTTTTAGTAGAGAAAGGGTTTCACCCTGTTAGTCAGGCTGGTCTCAAACTCCTGATCTCAGATGATCTGTCCGCCTCAGCCTTCCAAAGTGCTGTGATTACAGGCATGAGCCACCGCGCCCGGCCCCCTTTCTAGGTTCTAATCCCCTTCCCAGACTGTCGCATCTATTTCAGTTACCCCTTCTTTCTTTGGTTTTCAGCTCTTCCTCTGGATGGACTTTCCCAGCAGTATTTAAACATGCTCAGGCTTCTACCATCAGTGCTATTTTTAAATGTCCATCACATTCTGTCTCTCCCTGATCAAACTCTTCCACAGCACCTTGTCAGCACTTAGAATAGAAAGTCTGTATGCAGGAAACACAGACTCTTTGGTCTGGGTATGATGGTTAGTTTTATGTGTCAACTTCACTGGATCACAGGGTGCCTAGATATCTGGTTAAACATTATTTTGGGTGTGTCTGTAAGGGTGTTTCTGGGAGAAATTAACATTTGAGTCAGTAGACTGAGTGAAGCAGATGGTCCTCCCCAAGGTGGGTGGGCATCATCCATTCCATGGAGGGCCTGCATAGAGCAAAACGGCAGAGGAAGGGAGAATTTCCTCTTTGCGTGCTTGCTTGAGCTAGGATATCACCCTTCTTCCCTCAGACAGAAACTTGCACTATCAGCTCACCTGCTTCTAAGGCCTCTGGACTTGGACTAGAATTTATACTACTGGCTGTCTTAGGTCTCCAGCTTGCAGATAGCAGATTGTGGAACTTCTCAGCCTCCATAATCAAGTGAGCCAATTCTGCATAAATCTCATATATAAATATATATATAACCTGATGAATGCACTGGACATGCCATACAAATATCTCTTCGTCTCAGAAACCTGACATGGCAGGCCTATTTTAGGCCCTCTGGGCTCTTCCATGGGGGTTAGGAACACAAGTGTCCCCTGTTCTTAGACCCTAAACTTATCCAGGTAATTCCATCTCCATCTCTCCAACCACCAATACTGCCCCTTCTTGGGGACTCACAGCAGCATCTAATCCTCTGGCTTCCTCTCTGACTCTTCTCCTTCCCTCGGTCCAGGAATATGTATCTAGGCCTAAATGGGGAGGAGCTATTGGGGGGAGTCTAGCTCTGGCTGGTGATATAGTCTTCCAAATGGATCATGAGTCTTTGATGGTTTTGAAATCCAAAAGGCAAGAATTATTTTCTTGTCTTTTGCATTCTACTATTTTATCCCTTCTCTAAAGTAAGAAAATAAAAACGATTGGGAGGCCGAGGCAGGTGGATCATGAGGTCAAGATATCGAGACCATCCTGGCCAACATGGTGAAACCCCGTCTCTACTAAAAATACAAAAAATTAGCCAGGCCTGTGGCGGGCAGCTGTAGTCCCAGCTACCTGGGAGGCAGAGGCAGGAGAATCACTTGAACCCGGGAGGCGGAGGTTGCAGTGAGCCAAGATTGCACCACTGCACTCCAGCCTGGCAACAGAGTGAGACACTGTCTCAAAAAAAAAAAAAAAAAAAAAAAAAAAAAGAGTAGCTAGCTGATAGGTAGGAAGATATATAGAGAGGAAAACAAGTATCTGTTAATATTTCAAAATCTCTTTCTCACCTCATGGGTTTAATAATGTAGCCAATAGTAGATCTTAATATATCTAAATCAGAGCTAACAAACGGAAACTGTGGTCAAAGCACAGTGTGATGACACATTTGGGAGTGACAGTGATTGCTTGACCAGCATAGGGGTAGATCTTTTGTGTAGGAGCCCCGTCAAAGCTGACGCAATGGATACAACCAAATCCTTCATGATTTCCAAGAGACTGCTGGCTGTCTACAGTATCTGATCTCCTTTTCTCCATACTAATTTCAGCATTTTTAGCTGAGCACATGGCCACCCAGAACAAAGACTGCATTTTCCAGCCTCTTTTGCAGCTAGACTTAGCTTTGATAGTTCTGGTAGACGGAATGGGAGCGTGTGTTATATAGAGTTTGTAGGAGCTTTCCTTAGAGACAATGATGGTGTGAGTGTGGGTGCGCTTTGCCTCTTTTCCACTTTGTATCTTCATGCTGGCTAGACTATAGATGTAATGGTTGGAGCTAAAGCAACATTTGTGAACCATAAGGTGGCAGCCACATATTGAGCATAATGGAGAATTAGGAGAGAAGGAACCCGGATCCCTGCTAATCATGGAGCTGCAACAGCAACCTTGGCCTGCCTACATTTACCTGAAAGGGAAATAAACTTCTATCTTGCTTAAGATCCTACTACTTTGGATTTTCTGGCCTGTGTAACTGAACCTAATTCTAATATATCATGTAGCACCAGGAATGGGATTCTGAAGATAGCTTATTTCAATAAACTTTTGCTGTGAAGCAAAAGGCAGTGAGGACTCAATATCGCAGTTTGGAAAGTTGGTGACTCCTATTATTTCAATTGCAAAATAGTTAGCAAAACCATCAACTGTGAGCAATGCCATGCCAAAGCACCTTGGAGCCAAAGGCAAAAGGAAAAATCAACAACACTGATACTGTTTTTATTTAAAATTTTGATATTCATCATATTTTTGCATTAATTTTTATTTTAAAAAAAATCACATTAAAATATTATTTATCTTGATTACTGAGACATTCTCTGTGCCCCTTTAAATTTTGCACCTGAGGTGAGTATTTCACATATTACCTCGGTTTTAGCCCTGCTGTGATGTGAAGTATTATGAGGTTATACCACATCCCAGCCAAGGGCATTACCCGTAAGAGGTCTAGAATACTTATTTGTGTTGTCACTTCTGACTACCTTCAACAAAGTCCTATAAGAGAGAAACTAAGTCCAATTATAGCTAGTTTATCTACAGGCAGAGATGAAAGTGAGGCTTTTTATGCCTGTGTTTTGCAATCTAAATTCACTGAGAGCCATTTAGACCTCCTCAGCTGAAAACGTCAACTGCTTCTGCAGCCCAAACTAATGTTATTATAAGCAGTGACTTCAAAGTGACAGCCTGTGGCCACATGTCTTTTTTAAGCAACTTCCTTTAGGTTATCTCTGCTGGACAACAGGAGCCTCTCCAGCAGCAAAGTCAAATTAAGGTTTTTGTCTTTCCACTTAACCCTATGCATCAGATGGCCTCAAGGGAGCCACCGTGGAGTTGAAAGAGAGGTAGGTGGGTAGAGCACAGAGGCTGGTAATTCAGACTAGATCAGGCATGTTCAGAGTGGGATGGCCATAGATAGAGGCTGCTCATTCAGTCTTTAGGTTAAACACTTTGTCTAGACAGATATTCAATAGTGGTTGTTTGCACAAGAAACCAACTGAAGCCAGATAGGTGAAAAGCTTAAACTTTTGAGGAACTTAAATCACTAAACTGACCTGATTTACAAAGCTGACCTGAAATAGCCTGAATTATTCAAACTTTGAACAGCTCTATGACCCCCAGATCTGGTCCAGCTGGAGGTGTGTGCAACCCATGAAAAGCACACACACACACACACACACACACACACACACATATATGTATATATATAGTCTCTGCCTCTAGTTCCTGACACAGAGCTCCCAGTTTCTCAGAATTTCCTGGGGGGTAGGAGCATCTTTTGATCTAATGAGATGACTTTTCCTGGGCTTCTGCATGAGGGCTGGTGACTAGACAAACCAAGCCATGATTAGAAGCTTGAAACTTTCAGTCCCACCCTCTCATCCTCTTTTTTTTCCCTCCGTTTCTTTCTCCAGAAAAGGGAGAGGAGCTGGAGACTGAGTTAATAACTGATCATGACTACATGATGCAGCCTTCGTAGTAATCCCTGAACTATGGGGTTTGGAGAGCTTCTAGGTTGGTGAACACGTGAAGGTGCTGGGAGGGTGGTAAACCAGGAAAGGCCATGGAAGGTCTGCACCCCTCCCACATACCTTACCCTATGTACTTCTTTATCTGTCTCTATCATTTGTATTCTTTAGTAAATAATAAGCCAATAAATGTAAACAAGTGTTTCCCTGTGTTCTGTGAGCCTTCTTAGCAAATTATTGAACCCAAAGAAGGGTCGTGGGAACCCTGATTTGTAGCTATCAGTCAGAAGTAAAGGTGATAACATGGGATTTAAGATTGGTTTCTGAAGTGACGGGCAGCCTTGTGGGACTGAGCCCTTAACCTGTGGGGTCTGCAGTAACTCTGGTTAGTGTCAGAACTGAACTGAATCGCAGGACACCCAGTCAGTGTTCACAGAAAACTGGAGAATGCCTTGGTGGGGAAAAACACACTCTCCTTATTTCAGTGATCAGAAATGTTCTGTGTTGTGAGTGTGATGAAATGCTAGTATAATTTATTTCACACATTTTGAAAGTTCTAGCACATTTTCAAGAGTCAGAGAAAATTTTTTTCAAAAGCATATTCATTGCTTTTTCTGTAAAAAGGCATCAACAATAGCCACACAGTATTTATTATTGAATTAAATGCAAAAATGCATATGGAAATTCTTAGGAAATTTCAAAGCTTGGTATAAATACAAGGATTTTATGTAATGTGGGTTCACAAGTTCATGGCTAACTCAAAATCGAGACTTTTTTACAATTGGAAATCAACCCCTGCAAAATATGCTTGAAAATAACTACAAAAATAAATCACACCAACAATTTTTGGCCAATAGACCAGCTATTTTGCTCTTTGGTAAACTCACTAAAACAGAGGGATTTATTGATATTCCTTCTTTGCTAAACAGAATATTCTGGGAACACATGCAGAAAAGATAAATAAATATGTGTTCTGATAGAGGAGTTGAAACGAATATGGAATTGAAAGCCATCAGAACAAAGCCAATAATCATTTCTGAGACTATGATGATTCCACATATGCCAAATAAGTGTTTCAAGATGCGTCGGATCCATTAACTATCACTGGCCAATTCAGAAGACACCAATTCTGGGTACCTGCCAACCTAATTAGATATTTTTGTTTCCCCAAGAGATAATTGCAACATGCTTATCATGTATTATATACACATTGAGACTAGGTTCATTTGAAAATATACTCATATGTATCCTGGGATTCATTGAACTTGGAGAACATTTTCCTCTATAAATGAGGTACTTTCAGATCTCTACAAGCAAAATTACAAAAACTGATGAAAGAAATGGAAGAGGACACAAATAGAAAGACATCCCATGCTCATGGATCAGAAGAATTAATATTATTAAAATGACCATACTGCCCAAAGCACTCTACAGATTCAATGTAATCTCTATCAAAATACTAACATCATTTCTCACAGAAACAGAAAAACAATCCTAAAATTTATACAGAACAAAAAAATATCCAGACTAGTCAAAACCATTCTGAACAAAAAGAACAAAGCTGGAGGCATTACACTGTGTGCCTCAAAATATATTACAAGGCAATAGTAACCAAAACAGCATGATATTGGTATAAAAACAAAGCATTGACCAATGGATAGAATAGAGAGTTCAGAAATAAATCCACAAATTTACAGCCAACTGGTTTTTGACAAAGGTGCCAAGAACATGCATTGGGGAAAGAACACCCTCTTCAATAAATGGTGATGGGAAAATTGAATATCTATATGCAGATGAATAAAATTGGGCCCCTCTGTCTCAGTATATGCAAAAATCAACTCTAAATAAATTAAAAACTTAAATGTAAGACTAAAACCTGCAAAACTACTAGAAGAAAACAGAGAGAAAACACATTAGGACATTGGTCTAGGCAAATATTTTATGGCTAAGAATTCAAAAGCACAATGAAAACAAAAATAGACAAATGAGACTATTTTAAACTAAAAAGCTTCTGCACAGCAAAGGAAACAGTCAATAGAGTAAAGAGTCAACCGATTGAATCAGAGAAAACATTTGCAAATTATTCATCCAGCAAGGGACTAGCATCCAGAATATATAAGAAACTCAAACAACTCAACAATAAAAAACAAAAGCAAAACAAAACAAAAAACAAATAACCCTATTAAAAAGTGAGCAAAGGTCATCAATAAACATTTCTCAAAAGAAGACACACAAATGGCCTACAGATATATGAAAAAAAATGCTCAAATCACTAATCATCAGGGAAATGCAAATTAAAGCTATTATGAAATATTATCTTATTCCAGTTAAAATGGCTATTACTAAAAAGACAAAAAATAACAGATGCTGGCAAGGATACAGAGAAAAGGAAATTCTTTTAAACTGTTGGTGTGGAATATAAGTTACTACAACCACTATGGAAAACAGTATGGCGTTTTCTCAAAAAACTAAAAATAGAACTACCATACAATCCACTGGGCCCCTATCCAAAGGAAAAGTAATCAGTATGTTAAAGGGATAGCCGCACTCACATGTTTATTGCAGCACAATTCAGAGTAGCCAAGAAATAGAACCAAAGGATGAATGGATGAAGAAAATATGGTTTATATACACAATGGAATACTAAAAAGAATAAAGTCATGTATTTTGCAGCAACATGAATGAAACTTGAGGTCATTATGTTAACTGAAACAAATCAGACACAAAAAGACAAATTCACATGTACTTACTCAACTAAAAAAGTTGACTTCATGAAGGTAGAGAGAAGAATGATAGATACCAGACACTGAGAAGAGTATGTGAGTGGGAGTGGGGCTGAAAAGAGGTTGGTCAATGGGTACAAACATACAGTTAGATGGAAGGTATAAGTTCTAATGTTCCATAGCAGAGTCGGCTGACTATAGTTGGTAATGAATTATTATATATTTCAAAGTAACTAGAAGAGGCCAGGCCCAGTGGCTCATGCCTATAATCCCAGCACTTTGGGAAGCTGAGGTAGACAGATTACTTGAGCTCAAGAGTTCAAGACCAGCCTGGGCAACAAGGCAAAACCCCATCTCTACAAAATATTCAAAAAGTACCATACGTGTTGGCATGCATCTGTTATCCCAGCAACTCGGGAGGCTGAGGCATGAGGATTGCTTGAATCTGGGAGGCCAAAATCACACCACTACACTCCAGCCTGGGCTACAGTGTGAGACTCTGTCAAAAAAAATAAAAAGTAACTAGAAGAGAGAACTTTTTTTAATAGTGAAACAATTATTATTATTTTTTATTTCCACAGTTTTTTGGGGGAACAGGTGGTATTTGGTTACATAAGTAAGTTCTTTAGCAGTAATTTGTGAGATTTTGGTGCACCCGCCACCCAAGCAGCATAAACAGAACTCGATTTGTAATCTTTTTATCCCTCACTTTCTTCCTACCCTTTTTCCCTGAGTCCCCAAAGTCTATTGTGTCATTCTCATGCCTTTGCATTCTCATAGTTTAGCTCCCACTTACAAGTGAGAACATACGATGTTTGGTTTTCCATTCCTCAGTTACTTCACTTAAAATAATAGTCTTCGGCTGGGCGCGATGGCTCACACCTGTAATCCCAGAACTTTGGGAGGCCAAGGTGGGCGGATCATGAGGTCAGGAGCCTGACCAACATGTTGAAACCCGGTCTCTACTAAAAATCCAAAAATTAGCTAGGCATGGTGGTGCACGCCTATAATCCCAGCTACTCGGGAGGCTGAGGCAGGAGAATCGCTTGAACCTGGGAGGCAGAGGTTGCAGTGAGCCGAGATCGTGCCACTGCACTCCAGCCTGGGAGACAGAGCGATACTCTGTCTTAAAAAAAAAAAAAAAAAAAAAAGCCATGAAATTTTCTACCGTGTTGAATGTGGCTTTTTCTTCATTAAGTATTCCATTGGTTGCAATAGATCTTTGACTAATTTTCAGAGCTTCTATACGGTTATTTTAGCCAGTCTCTAGGAGTTTGTTCTTCTTGTTGCTATTGTTATTCTCTTAGTGTTTCTGGGGAAAACAAGGGCCTGAAGCTTACTAATCCACCATCTTGCTAACATTACTTCCTTACATTAATTTTAATAAACTCTTTATTTTAGAATAGCTTTGGATTTATAAAAAAAAATGCAAAGAGAATTCACATGTATCAGTTTCAGTTTCTTGACATTCAGAGGTTTGTTGGGATCTGGATACTAAAGAAATTTATATGGAAAGATAGGAAAAATGGTCAGAGAAAGGGAAGCAAGCACACAATGCTACAGCAATAAACAACCCCAAATTCTCAGTAACTTTGAATAACAAAGGTTTATTTCTTGTTCAGGGTACAAGTCCAACCAGGTTAGCACAAGGACACTATTCATCACTAATGAACACTCATGGTCCCAGACTGACAGCACAGCTATTACCTCAAATGTTGCTGGTCATCGTGGCAAGAGGAAGTGAGGTAAAGGCTCTGCATCTTAAAGCTGTTTTTTTTGTCCATTTCACTGGCCAAGAAAAGTCTCATGGCCAGGACTGACTTCAGTGGGGGAAACTTTAATTCCACCATGTGCCTGAAGTCAGAGAGCCAGAAATGTTAGAGCTGGAGCTACTGGTAATGACAAGGTCTAAGCTATGTCCTTAGGAATGAACAGACAAGATTGGATGAAGGACAAAGCCACTGAAGGAGAGTAGGTCAAGAAAGTGAGAGTTCAGAGTGTAAAACATATTACCTACATGCATATTTAAATCATTAGAAATTAAGACAAGGGTAATGTTGGATAGAATAACAGAAAACCCAGAGTTAAAATTAATAAGAAATAAGATAGGGTTACCCTTGAGGTCAATAGGGTTACCCTTGAGGTCACTAAATGACTATGACCATGAAGTCAAGGTCAAGATAGGATAGGGACAAGATAGGATATTCAAAGCTGCAATATTTTAGGGAGGGAGAAGAAGGGAGAATGGTCTGAGAGAAAAATGAATAGTAAGAAAGACACCCAGGCCATCTCCAGACCCAGGAATTAAAGGGCTGTAGGAGAGAAAATAGCCGCCACTTAAAGGACTGCAGGAAAAACAGGGTCCTCAGGGGGAATCCAGGTTTCCTTAGAGCAAGAAAGTGAAAAATGTTCAGAGAAGAGATGTAAAATATAAAGGATTTTGCTGCATGAGTTTCAGAGGACACAGTGCCAGGGTTGCATCTGTTGTGGAGGAATGGGAGGTAGACATAAAAGAATGTGCTGAGCTATGTGAGCATTTAAGCAAGGGAAATGAGGGGTGATGTGGGAGTCTCAGGCCTCTGATGGAAACTGAAGTAAACATACATAAAGGTCATCAAAGATTAGTCATGATGGACCTGAGAAAATAGCAATGGCAAAGCTGTAAGGGTTAAGAAATACAGAGGAAAGTGTGTCATAGCTCCCTCTGCAAGGTGGCAGTCCAAGTCCAAACACACATATCTGTCTTGATGTCTGTGGATGAAAGGAAGAAAGTATGTGAGGCCAGGTCCTACATTGAGCAATCATAGAAAATGCTTTCTTCTCTGCCCACAGACTGGTCAGCTACAACTGGCCTGGCCTGAAGACAAGGCTAAAGAATTACAGAGGAAGCTGTATCCAAAGTGGACACCATTGCCTCTGACAGAAAGAAGCTCAAATGTTACATTCAACAAAAAATATGTGACAGCTTTTATATATAGTTCCATTAGTTGGAGTTTTAATATTTATGTGTTGTAGTAGAAGTTCTTTTCTTACTTCTGCATTCTTTCCAGTGAAATAGAAATGCAAGGGCATCAGTGGAGGAGGAGAGAGATGGTACAAAACAGTTGATATTGAGTCTTTTTATCCATGAACATTGTATCACTCTCTATTTCACTCTTTTTTTCCAATAAGATTTAACAGTTTTCTGTATAAAAGTCCTAAACACCTTTTGTTACATTTATTCCTAGATAATTTATATTTTGTTTCTATTTCAAGTATACCTTTTTGATAATGACTTTTTAAATTTATTGCTGGTTTATAAAAGTGCATTTGATTTTTGCATATTGTTCTCTATTCTAGCCACTTTGATAAACTCTCATTAATTCTGACAATATTTTTCTGTAAGTTCTCTTGAGTTTTCTATGTAGACAGTCATATCACCTGTAAATAATGAATTTTGTTCCTTCTATCCCAATGCTTATATCTTCTATTACTTTTTATTTCTTCTTTTTCTCTTTTCTTTCCTTCTTTTTTTTTTGAGATGGAGTCTCACTCTGTTGCCCAGGCTGGAGTGTAGTGGCACTATCTTGGCTCACTACAACCTCCACCTCCTGGGTTCAAAAGATTCTCCTGCCTCAGCCTCCCCAGTGGCTGGGACTACAGGCGTGCACCACCATGCCCGGCTAATTTTTGTATTTTTTAGTAGAGATGGGGTTTCACTATGTTGGCCAGGCTGGTCTCGAACTCCTGACCTTGTGGTCCACCCGCCTCAGCCTCCCAAAGTGCTGGGATTACAGGTGTGAGCCACTGTGCCTGGCCTTCTATTACTTTTTCTTACCTGATTTTTCTGGCTAGGCCTTCAAACCATGCAGAATAGAGGCATTGACCCATGAGGTTTTAACTTCAACAATTGCAATTTTTTACTTCTATAAATTCTATTTCATTTTCTAGTCTACATAGCTGTTTTGCATTCTGATTCATTATTTTTAATTTTCATCCTTTATCAAGTTTAATCATTCCTTATGTAGCTATTTTACACTCTGCATCAGAAAGTAAAATATGTGATGTCCTTGGGGGGTCTTACACTAAAATTTATGTTACCTATTGGCTCTGCTTTATGGTGAGGTGTTTCCTTGTGCCTTTGGTAAATTTTTATTTTTTCAGAGGCAGGGTGTCGCTCTACTGCCCACACTGGAGTGCAGTGGCATGATCATAGCTCACTGCAGTTTCAAACTCCTGGTCTCAAGAGATCACCTCAGCCTCACAAAGCGCTGGCATTGGAGGCATAAGCCACCACATCTAGCCTGGTGATTTTTTTTTATTATGAGCTCTTACTTGGTTGAACTTAATTTGTGGGGATCCTGAAAGCCTAACTGGGCATGCTTTACTCCAGAGGTATTCAAGAGACTCCACTTGGTTCCAGACCTCCCATTCGCCATGGACTTCACATGTACTCTGTTGACCATAACTGTGCAGTGTTTGCTTATCATTCATCTTTTGGTTTCAAAGCACTGTTTTATTTGTTTACTTTTTAAACTTAATCTTTTTACTTTGAGATAATTGTAGATTCACATGCAGTTGTAAGAAATAATACAGAGACATCCCATGTATCTTTTACCCAGGTTGTCCCAATGATAACGTCTTGCAAAACTACAGTACAACATCACAACTAAGACGTTGCCATTGATACGGTCAGATACGAAACATTTCCAACATCACAAGAATCCCACAGATTGCCCTTTTATAGTCACATCCACTTCCTTCCATCCTTATCCCCTCCTTCACCCTTAGCACTAATCTATTCTTCATTTCTGCGATGTCGTCATTTCAATAATTTTATATAAAAGGAATCAGTCAGTATGTAATCTTCGGAGACTGACTTTTTTCATTCAGTATAATTATCTGGAGATTCATCCAAATTGCTGCATGTATCCATGGTGTATTCTTTCTTAGTGTTATTCCGTGATGTAGATGTATCATGGTTTGTTTAACCATTCGTCAATCAAAAGAAATCTGGGTTATTTCCAGTTTGGGGCTGTTACAAGTAAAGCTGCTGTATGCATTCAGGTATAAATATGTATTTCTCTGGGTAAATGCCCAGGAGTACAATTCCTGGGTTACAAGGCAATTACATGTTTCATTATTTTTTTTAAATTGCCAAACTGTTTTCTGGAGTGGCTGTACATTTCCGCCAGTGATGTATGAGGAATCCAATTTCTTCTCATCCTCACCACCATTTTGTGTTGTCATTGTTTTTTATTTTAACCACTCTGATAGATGTGTAGTTATTCTTCATTTTGGTTTTAATTTGCATCTCCCTAATGGCTAATGATGTTGAACATTTTTTCTATCCATCACTATATATGTTTATTCCTCAATTAAAAGTATACATATGGGAATTTATTCTGAAAAAAAACAGAATTATATGAATTGTTTGTATTCTTATTTAATGGTAAGGATACAGTAATCTTTTCAATCAAAGCATCGTGTTTGAACAATTAGGACTAAGTAATGACATATTAAATGGTAAGTTATTTTTTTCTTTTTTTGTTATTATATCTCTTTTATTATTATTATACTTTAAGTTCTAGGGTACGTGTGCACAACGTGCAGGTTTATTACATATGTATACATGTGCCATGTTGGTGTGCTGTACCCATTAACTCATCATTTAGCATTAGGTATATCTCCTAATGCTATCCCTCCCCCCTCCCCCCACCCCACAACAGGCCCCGGTGTGTGATGTCCCCCTTCCTGTGTCCAAGTGTTCTCATTGATGTTGAACGTTTTTTCATGTGTACATTTTCCATCTGTGTATTCTCTTTAGTGAAATAGCTCTTCACATCTTTTGACCATTCTCAAATTGGATTGTTTGGTTTTGAGAGTTCTTTATATATTCCAGATTCTTGTCCTTTATCAGATATATGGCTTGCAAATATTTTCTCCCAGTCTTCAGCTCACCTTTTTATCCGCATAATCAGGTCTTTTGCAGAGCAAAAGTTTTTACTCTTGATTAAATACATGTTTTCGTATTTCATCTCATGGATCATGCCTTTGTTGTCAAGCCTCAGAACTCTTTGCCTTGTCCTACATCCTAAAGATTTTTCTCCTATGTTTCCAAAAATTTCATAGTTTTATGTTGTATATTTAAGTTCAGGATCCATGTTGAGTTAATATCTTTTATAAGATGTGAGAACTCTGGTTTCTTGAAAATTTCTCAGACTCTCTCACAAGCCTAGCAGTGGGTGAAAAATAATTTGGAAGGGGAGCAATTTATCTAAAATCTAGCTATATTATAACAGAAAATTTAGACTAGCCCTGTAGAATATCAAATTCACTATACTCTGTTTTAATTCTTGAAGTAAGTAAGTTGAGCTCTGTTACTATTTAGTATCTAGACTAATAGTGTAGCTTTTGCTCAGTTTGTATAATACACAGAGCAAGCCTGCTGGCCCCTAAGGAAGTGGAAGATGTTCATGTTTACTGGGGAAGGGAGGTTGGGAAAACTGGGGTTCTCCCTTGTATGTTTGCTTTCAGATTAGATGTGCCTTTTGCACTTTATATTGCTGATTATGTGGACATGTACATTATAATATTTTAATTAAAGTAACTCTCATAAGATTAAACAGTGACTTAAAAGGTTTCTTCAAAAAAAAAAAAATCCCCTGGACTGAAAATAATACTAATATGGCAAGCATAAAAGAACAGCATGACTGTACCAGAACTGGCACCTCAGCTCCAGTCCTGAGCTCTTACACAGCCCCACTGTGAGTAAAAGCAGTGAGAGTCCAATCTGATTTGACAGGGGCTTAGCCAGAAATCTTCCAAATTTCCAAGAAAACTTTCTAAAATGTGGATTTACCTTCGCTATTATTACCAATAAATCCTGCCCTGTGTATATAATGTTTCTTATATTAGGCAATCATAGCTCTGCACGTAAATTTGATTAGGGAGGCATTCGGTTGCAAGGAACAGAAAACCCAACCACAGTGACTTAAGACAGAAGGAGATTATTTTCTTCTTGTAACAAGAAATCTGGAGTTGGGCAGTCATAGGCAATTGTCAACTGCCTAAGGGAGTTATGAAGAACTCAGGCCCCTTCTGTCTTCTAACTCTACTTTCTTTTTTTTTTTTCTCCATTTATATATTTATTCAATCATTTATTTGTAACATTATGGACTCATAGTTTTTATTATTATACTTTAAGTTTTAGGGTACATGTGCACAACATGCAGGTTTGTTACATATGTATACATGTGCCATGTTGGTGTGCTGCACCCATTAACTCGTCATTTAGCATTAGGTATATCTCCTAATGCTATCCCTCCCCCCTCCCACCACCCGGGCTAATATCCAGAATCTACAATGAACTCAAACAAATTTACAAGAAAAAAACAAACAACCCCATCAAAAAGTGGGCGAAGGATATGAACAGACACTTCTCTAACTCTGCTTTCTTTACCAGGTAGCATTTGTCTCCACGGTTGGAAGACTGCTGCTGCAGCACAGACTGGTGTCTCTATTAATAGATATCTCAGTTGCACTACAGACAGGAAGAAGGGCAAAGGGGAAGAACACGATGGTGAGTAAGATGCAATTCCACATTTCAAGCAGCTTTCTTTTTCAGCGAGTGTCCTCAATTATTTCCCAATTTTTATCTTCTTTCTCACGGGAACGAAAAGCCCACATCTCTGAGGATGTATGCTCCAGGCTACACGCCAGGAATTCTGGATCACCTTCTTTTTAAGAGTCATTAAAAACAGCCCAGCTGTGCCTTGCAGTGGAAATCACTAGCCGCTGTTGTCTTCATGTCAGTTTGTCATTGTTAATAAGATAACATTGGTTTTATTATTCTTAATCTACCATAAAACTGTATGTCAACTCTCCTATCAGGAAAACCTTACCAGCAATGGAAACATGTTAATATTAATATAGCATTGCCATTTAGTAACAGATTATGTGGTTGACATAATATGTCTGAGTTTCTTTGAGGGTGTTATATATGCTCTCTTCACTCAGGGCTGTTGCCTTTCTGAAATATCTCGAGGTGGCGTTTTCCTCGTACTGGTGACTCCATGGTAATATGGAAGTGCCTTCCCAATAGTGAGGCTACTACAGGGATTCCAAGGTGATTCTTGGACACACCTCTTTCTAGAAAAGAGAAAAATACAAATAAATGTGCTTTCTGGCAGGAAACCCTGAGTTGTATGGCGTGTGTGTGTGTGTGTGTGTAAACAAAAATGTGAAATATAAATAGCCGTTCAAGAATATGTATATGCATAAATGTGGTGAGTATGAATCACAGCTCATATTCCCAAATATGCAAGAAACAGAATTTTCTTTGATTTCTTGAACCATTTAATTCCCATTTGGCTACTAAGTTGTTAAGAAATGCTGACTTCAGTCTTTATTAGCCTCTGCTGCACCATGATGGCCAGAGTTGTGCATGGTTTCAGAGTCCCATACAGGGACAAGGCATGGGGAGTTATAGGAAAATGCCTTCCTTGGCCACCTGTCCACACGAGTTGCCATGGAGAATGTCCCCATCCCAACACAACAGCTCCTTCAGGTCCAGATGCCGTCTCCCTTTCCTGAGTCATGTTTGGGATGCGAAAATCTTCTCAGTTTTGCCCACATGACTACATGCCCCTCCCACCTCCTTCTCTGGGATCTTGCCACCTCCCAGCACCATCTTCCTTTCTATTCCTTTTTTTTTTTTTCCCTAAGCCTGGGTGAATCTTTCTCTTGCCTGGAGAATGGAACATTCTGTGCTCTCCACAGTTTCTGGCAAGACTTTCTGTCCATACATCAAATCCTTTTGCCTGCTCTGAAATTAGGCTGCTCTGAAATTAGGCTTTTAGAGATGAAAGTAAAAAAGACCGATAGGTCATTTCTGCTTTTGATCCTGATACATCCCTCCCCTCACACAATGCAGCAAGTACCAATGAGCCAAGTTATCTGATTGAAAATGGTAGGAAAAGGAGACATTCGGAGAGGAAAAGAATCAAAGGTTAATATGTAAAAAAAATCCTCCTGCCATATGTTCTACAGGTGTGTGCGTGTATATATACACACACGTATATATGTTTATAATATAATAATATGTATAATATACACACATATATACATATATGTATATGTATGTGTGTATAGTGTGTATATATATAATGTGTGTGTACAGTATACTTGCCAAAGTTAATAGCTACTGTAACAAAGAAAATTTTTTAAAATTATGCACTATGTTTCTGTTAATATATTCAATTCAATGTTTTTTGCTTCTAATCAGAGAAATAGGGAAAATAAGGTATACTAAAGAAGTATAAATCTTGTTTCTTGCCCCCAAAAAGTCTTAATTGAATTGGGATTTAGGTTATATAAGTATACACATAAAAATAGACAGGAAATTACAACAATTCAGCACACACAAGCATACGCAGATGTAATTCAAGCAGCATATGGTAATGTTGAGCAGGGAGACTCATAATAATTAACATTTGTGAATTGCTTTCCATTTTACTCACATATATAACTTAATTTGATACTCATAATAGCCCTGAAAAGGGTAGTGTGATTATTATCTTCGTTTTACAGAAGAAGAAAAAATGCAATGCCAAAATTAAGTAATTTTGTCAAATTTACACAATTAGCCAATGGAAATTAAAGTAAAGGCGGTTCCTATGAAAAGTTTGTCTGAATATGGACTCCAAAAGGAAGATAAAAGATAAACTATATATGTGTGGTATACAGAGATGTACTTTGCATCATTGAATGAGCAAGCTCGTCCATCCTGCCTTAGTTTGTTGTTGTTGTTCTGTTTTGTTTTGTTTTAGGCTTTTAGCAGCCTGACGCCTTGGTTTTTAGTTTCTGTCTCTAGTGACAGGTGGAAAAGAAGGATGAGGAAGGGGCTTTACTGGCCCAACCAGAAATAGTAACTAAGAACCCATGACTGTATTCTCTCCCTTGGACACCCCTGGGAAGCTCTGTACTGGTAAGTTGAATTGCTTTAAATGGTGACTCTAAATTCAACTTAATCAGAATCTCTAGAGGTGAGTCACAGGGTTGGGTATGTTTTAAATCTCCTCAGGTGATCCTAATCAGCAGCCAGTGCTGAGACCACTGGGTTTTGTAGCTGCTGCTCTATAAATAGGTACTATCTTGTATGTTTTAAAACTCTTTAAAAAAATGTCCTTATGCTATATGTGCCCTTTTGCAACTTTCTTCATGGCTCAGGATTAGGCCTAATATTTTGATTTATTAAAACTGGTAGGAGCAATTAATTTACTTTAACTGCTACATGACATTCTACTATAATTTATCCTCCTACTAATGCAAAGTTTATCTTCTATTCTTATACATCTTTTCTTGTCTTCATGATCTCCTTGTGCTAACTTTACCAAATTGGGAAAAACTAAAAAGTCCAATGACACTAAGTGTGGTAAGAATGTGGGAAAATGTAATCTCTTATACAATGCTAATGTGAGTGTAATTCTGTACATCTGCTTGGGAGTCAATCAGTCGTAATACTTAGTGTTGACAAATGATCAGATCATTTTGTATTTTGGCAAAGAAACTGTCAAAACCCCTTTTATTTGGTTCTAGTTTTCTGTGGACAGTAAACAGCTTATTATTCTAGCCATCTGTACTTTTAGGGGAACAGAGACACCAGGGGGCTGGAAAAAATTTAAAATATTAAAAAGGTTTTAGTAAGTTGATTATATGTTAGATTATATCTGAAATTATTAAAAGAAAGTAAAATTACTGCTCTCTAACTATGTCCTATACTAGCGATGCTTTATGGCTTTCCAAAGCTATTTAAAACATGGTTTATTTAAGTGAATTAGCTCTTAGTGCATAACCTCTTCAACCTGCACCTCCTCTTTGCTCCAACAGGATCACTTTCCAGCCATGTTCTAGTAAATGGTACTAGGCTAAAACACTGGGCTCCATATACAGAACAGTTATTAGACAAAAGGAAGCAGAGAGCTGTAATCCCTGGGAGAAGGAAAACAAGACACAAGCCTTACAATCAAAAAAATTTCTCCCATCCTGGGCAACATAGGAAACCACATCTCTACAAAAAATTTAAAAAATAAAAAAATTATCCCAGCATGGTGGTCTCTGCCTGTAGTCCCAGCTACTCAGGAGGCCGAGGCAGGAGGATGCTAGGCGGAACCTAGGAATTCAAGGCTGCCGTGAGCTATGATTGCCCTATCTCTTAAAAAAGAGACCCTATTTTAAGATGAGAAAGGAAAGAGAAAAGAAAGAAAGAAAGAAAGAGAGAAGGAGTGGAAGGAAGGAAGGAAGGAAAGAAAGACACTTTGCCTAGTGTCTATATTAGAACTTAAAAATTAGAAGCTTGCTTTTTTCATAATATTTCCCTAATTTCAAAGGAATCAATTTCTCTATAAAAACAAGGAAGGAAGAGAGAAAGAGAGGGAGGGAGGGAGGGAGGGAGGAAAGAAATTTAGAAGCTTCTGCCTGAAAAACACTCTCCAGACCAAGAGGTGGGGCAAAAAAGCCCGCACAATGCATGGTAGTCTTTCTGAACTGAAGAGACACATTAAAGTTCAGGGATCCCAAGGTAGCTAGGATTTGTGTGAAAGAATTCAGAAAAGTGATAGCTATGCTGAGAAATCTGCGTAAGTCTACAGAAATTCCATAAGTCTACAGAGGGGGATCTCCATGAGGCCAGACAAATAATTGCTAAGGAACATTATGATCAACAATTCCTGGAACTCACAGAGGAGCAATAGACACTTGTGTTCCAATAATGCAGAGTGGAGGAATTTCAAATAGCTGAAGCATTCAGTAGAATCTCCAGAAGGGGTAGTGAGACAGCTTATCTAGCCCTAGACTAAAGGCTATTCTAGACCTGTCCTAATAATGCTTAAAAGCAATCCTCGAAAGGATCAAGCTGATTTGCAAATAACTTAACTGCCTGACACAACAAAGCTCAGTGCTATTTACAGGGAGACAACAAAATCCACACACTCAGCAACCTAATAACACAATGGTCACCATCCAGTAAAAACTTACTAGACATGAAATGGCAAATAAGACCCATAAACTGGAGTGGAAAATCAGTCAATAGACCCAGAACCACAATCGACACCAATTGTGGAATGAGCAAAGACGTTAAAACAACTATTATACGTATGCTGAAGGATTTAAAATAAAACAACTTCATGTGTAGGGAAGAAGGATATATAAAAAAGAACCAAATGGAACTCCTACAGATAAAAAATATAGTATCTGAGATGGAAAAAAAAAATCACTAGATAGGCTTGACAACAACAGTTTAGACACTGCAAAAGAAAAGATTAATGAACTTGAAGAAATAACAATAGAAATTATTCAAAATAAAGTAAGTAGAGAAAAAAAACTGAATCAAATTAACAGAGCCTCAAAGACTTCTAGGATAACAGCAAGTTGTTTAAATGTGTAATTAAATCCTAAAAAGAGGGAAGGGAACAACATATTTAAAGATAAAGCGGTTGAATACTTTCCAAATTTGATGAAAATTAGAAACTCACAGATCTAAGAAATTCAGTGAACCCCCAGTGAGAATATACTCAGAAGTATGCCCTACAGTCTGTGGCTTTAGCACCACTTTGTATTGTATGCCCCACCTGACCAGCTGTGCAGAGATATAACCCAGAGACCTGGCTAGGCTCATGGTCTTGGGAGTCAGTATGGGAGACTAGTAACAGAATTCACAATCAGGAGATCAGAAATCCAAAAACTGGGACAATGTCAAGTTGAAGACTAAAGGGTTCAAAAAATAGCATCAGGAGTGGAGAAGGATTAGGTCATTGGGAGGTGTAGCTGAATTTCCCAAATCAGATGGGTTTGTTAATTTCTAATTGGACCGAACACTTGTTGTGGCAGTTTTGGGTCACAATCCTAAGGGTCTTCTTGATTTTGAACAGGTGCAAGACTGAACAGTGTTCTCTGTGACTCAGTTCAAGATTTCCCTGTCAATTTTCTTGCCTCAATAAGCCAACAAGGCCCTCCTCTCTTTATCCACCATAATGGTAAAATCAGCTGTATACTCTTCAGCTGCAGGTTAACTTTACTATGCCTGATCTTGGGTCCCTGACTTATTCACAGAACTTCTGAGAACTGTGACACCAACTAACAAATCACTTCTAAGAAGGAAATTCTCCCTAAGGGTGTTTCATGCCTAGAAGTTCTTGGAAAGAGAAAAAGAATGTTCCTTACATTTAGAACACATTAAGGCATTTGAAAGAAAGACGACATTACATCTTGTGTGAATGGTTGATGAGTAGCTAATTTTTGGACAGCCACAAGGAAAATGCCAGGAAAGTTAACCTTTGCCTAGTGTCTATATTAGAACTTAAAAATTAGAAGCTTTCTTTTTTTCATAATATTTCCCTAATTTCAAAGGAATCCATTTCTCTATAAAAACATGAAATAAACACAAGAGCAAAATAAAATAAAATTCATCTATAAAATCATCTCCCAAAAATAATTATTGTTAACATTTTGGTTTCTATCTTTGAAGAACAATTTTGGGGAAAACAATATATAATTAAACTTGGATTCTAATGTATGGACATTTGCAAACCAATTTTCTTCAGCTATAAAAATTTTCCTCATTCATTGAATATTATTTATTTTCTTTCACTAAATTGGGATTATGTACTACATATTCTTTTTTGTCACTATTTTTTCTCTTAATCTACCATAAATATTTATCCATGTGATTCATTCTTTCATCCATTTCCTCAAAAAATCAATAAATACTGTGAGATAATTTTGCCTGTCTTTATAATGGTTATATCTATTTTTTCTGTCGTATTTTTCTTATTCTTTTTTCTTGCTATTAATTATAATGATTATAATGATATAATGATATATATAATTATATAATAATGATATAATGATATAATTATAATGATACCTATTTCTGTCTTATTTTTCTTATTCTTTTTTCTTGCTATTAATTATGAAGAGCATCTTTGTCCTGTTCATGGCTTTAAAGAGAATGCCGCAACATTTGACTGATAAATATGATGTTGGCTGCCAGTCTAAGATAATCTTCGTTATGTTAGTTGTCTTTTTATTTTCAGTTTGATAGGAGGTTTACTTGATTGTGTATTTATTATTTATTTTTAAGTAATGAATGGGTGTAGAATTCCATCAAATTATTCTTTGGCACCAATTGGGGGCTAGGGCAAGGATAAGGACAGAACTTGAGAAGACCAGTTGAGGAGCTATTTCATTGTCTCATTGTCCATATTAGAGGAACCAGGGCTAAGACACCAGATGTGGAAGAGAAAAGAAGAGGAGGTCTGCCACCTGTGCAGCAAAGGGAGCTAAAAGAGGAGAAGATAGAGATGGCTGGGAGATTTAG